>NC_000006.12:115070790-115373820 GCF_000001405.40 Homo sapiens | reverse complement strand
TCTGTACCCTACTGCTTTTATTTCCATGGGATTGACTTTCAAAAGTAAGGTTGCTGGATCAAATGGTATCCCTATTTTTACTTTAAATAATTATTGACAGATTGCTTTCCAAACATCTGTGACAATTCGTATTTCCAGCAGCAAAGTGTGAAAATACTATTGTCCTCTCATATCAACCAGCCACAGTTGCTGTCACTCTTTTAATATTTTCCAGTTTAATCTTAAAGAAGTTGAACTTCATTATGGATTTAAAATTTACTTTCCCCAAAACACTAGTGAGACAGAGGACATTTTAATAAATGTATTGGCTGTTTGGATTTAATCATCTATGGATTACTGAAACATTTTGGCTCTTTTTATTGGGTTATTTTTAGTATTTACATTTTAAATTTGTCAAGTGCCTGGTAAATATTTTCTTCAAATTATAATTTATCTTTATTTGGTTTGTGATATATTTTACCTTATTCTAATATTATTACTAATTTTAACAAATAAGGCAATCATGGAGCTCTTTCATGCTGTAGTTTCTGAGTTTCCAATTTTGATTAAGAAGGGCTGCCTAACTCAAGGTCATACATATATTCTCCTAAGTTTAAGATTTATTATTTTATATTTTTATGTAAAAACTTTTATAAGCCTTGAATTCTCTATTGTTTATTGTGTGAAGAAAAGATTCAATGACATATCCTGTTTCATGGACAGCAACTTATACCAGCATTGTTAAAAATAAATTCTTTGCTTTTTGAATTGAAATAAGTTTTTCATATATTAAACTCCCATAACACTTGGTTCTATTTCTGGGTTCCATATCTACTTATATATTTGTCTTTTTAAATTTCAATTCTAAAATATTTTGACTATGTGGAATCATGTATGTATTAAGGTAATGCAATGCCCCCACCCCAAGATAATTGCCTTGGTTATTATCAGATAATTATGCTTTCCTAATCTTTAAGATAATTTTATAATTAAAAAGTTCCAGCTAGGATTTTAATTGGAATTACTTCTAAATTTATATATTAGCTTTAAGGTCATTGACAATTCTTATACAAAGTGTGTTACCTAAGAAAAAGAAACATGCTTCTATTTGTAAATTTTTTACATCCTTCAATATGATTCCATGATTTTCTTTATAGGCATTCTACACTTTTCTTGTTAAATTTGTGCCTAAGCACTTTTTAATTGTCATTGCTATTGTGAATTGAATAGTTCCTTTTCAATTTTTAGCTTATTACTCATAGATTTATTTTCTGTAAACCTGCCTTTCAAAGTTTCATAATAATTTCCCATAATTTCAGTAGTCTCTTGAATTTTCTCTTTTGATTTTAAAGAAAATACTTAAAATGTATTTTCTCATTCCAAATATTTTCATTGATTATTTAAATTTCATTTCCTTTTTTTTCTTTTTATAAAGACAGGTTCTCACTTGAACTCCTAGGCTCAAGACATCCTCCCACCTCAGCATTCCAAAGTGCTGGGATTACAGGCATGAGCCACTGCATCTGGCCTTAAATGTCTTATTGAAACCCACATAATGTTAAATACGCTATTTTTACTAAATGAGAAGTGAATAAATATTTTGGCAAAGTTTGCTCAGGAGATAACTGAATAATGCTGAGTTGTGAGTGTTATGTTCTTTCTCCCGTCTTGTTCAACTTCAGGCCTTGAGTCAAGTTTCCAACAAGCTCAGTTCTACAAGTTTCTAAGTATATTCTGTGTGTTGGCAGTATACAATAACAACACCATCCTCACAAGTAGGTGGTTCTGAAAATCAACCTTCTTTTTCTAAAACATGTATTTTGTGTTCTTAGAGTGAGAACCCAGGCAACTAAATCTGGATCACATGCCTTCCTTTCCCCTAATGCTTCACTGTGAGTCTAGTCCATGTGCCAGGACTTGGTGTCCTTCTTTCCTGCTTCTGCCGGATGCAGTGGCTCCTGAAGATCTTAGCCAGATACTACAACTAAAATCACACAGTAGGTCTGCTCTACTTCCCAACAACTACAAGCCTGACACCCAGCTATAAATAAAAAAGAGGATCTTCCTTTGGCCCTGTGGATCATCAGCACCATTACTAAAGTACTCATAGATATAGTCATGGTATAAATGAAACCTGCCTTTGTCAGATTCTACTGGATATGTAAGTTGAAATACTGCCATCCAAACTTTTCTATTCTCTGCAGGCTAACTTTGCCTTAATCTGTACTCTACTCATTTTACCATTTCCCACCAGGCCACCACTATACCACTCTACATCCTGTTGTGTTTTTCCATGTAAGGTATGGATATATTTAGGAATTCACAGGAAAAATACATAAGGCAATAATCAGAATTAAAACTAAGTGATTACTAACCTCATCAATTGTTTACTGTATGCCAGATATTTTTATAAATGTTTTATATGCATTCATTTAATTCCTACAACCATCATATGAACTACCCTTGTTTTACAAATGAGGAAATTAACTGACATACAGAGTAGGTTTCTCGTTTTGAAAAATGGACTTCTTTGTTTTCATTTATCAAACCTTATTTTCAGACAGCAAGGTTTATTTCCAAAATCAGAATAGTATGTACATATCCTTTCTGCTTGCTCCCATCACAGATTAATCTGAACTTTCACTTTTTCTTAACACTTTTTAACAAGTCTTACCTAATTTATGGCCAACCTTTCCTGATGTTCTTAATATTTTGTGACATTCCTTGCTTTTATTTTTTCCCCTAATTAAGGTGTTTCTTTTTTATATAATTAACTGCCTTTTACAATCCTAACTCATATGTAAACTTACTGTGAATTCACACCATTTATTTTATTTATTTCCTCACGGTGAATTGTATAATAAAAAATGTAATGCTTTCTACCATGTTGAGCTGTGTTTCCTTTTAAGAGGCTCTTATTCTAGTATGACTTTGAAATCTACTTTGAAATAAATATTTGGCAATGTCCTGAATTATGTTATTAATTTTATTCTGTAAGCTTTTAAGATTGTCTCTCTAGCCTGGGTATGTCAAGATTTCCATAAGATATGATTTGCTGTGAGTTATTTTTTGTTCATTGTACTGGGCATTCAGTGAGTCCATTCAATCAGGAAACTTCTATTTCCCAGGCCAGGGAAGTTTTTCTCTTCTTTTAAATAATACCACCACCTTCAACCTCTGTTGCTTTCTTTATGAAACTCCTATCAGTCAAATGCTTGCTATCCTGCAAACATTTATTCTGTTTATTTATTCTATTTCATTTATTTCTATTTTTTCTTTCCCCAGGTTTTATCATATTTCCTGGGAGTTGGGATTTTCTCTGGTATGTTTTCTTTAAAACATACACTGTGGTAGTAACTTGGGTACTGAGGAGGCTTAAATGATTCTTATATAGAATCCCATTCTTATGCAGGAATCCCGTTTTCAATCACCCTACTGCACCTCACGTTCCTAGATCCCTCACATCTCTGACAGGGTTCTCCAGGATGACTTATCTGGCAGCTCATTTGATTCTTCCTCTGTGGATGCTGAGGTTTGACTGTCTCTTTTCAGACAATTATAATCAAAATGTTTTCCATCATTATATATTGTGTTTTGTATTTACATATATTTCCTCATTTTGTTGAGGATGGAATTGGTTCCTGTTTCATATTTTCCTTGAAATATTAAAGTGATTTTTAAGTCAAGGTTGTCAAGATTATTAGAGATGCACCATTTTGGCTGACTATTTTTAGTTGCCTCTTTTTTATCTACAGACTTTAGTTCATGCTATTTCCTCTTCAGGGAAAGACACATCTCCTTATGGCACCCTTTACTTCTCTATCTCAGCAATAACAACACTAGGTGGTTATTGACTAAATGCTTGTCTAACTACAAGAGTGTAGACCCCATGAGAACAAAGCTGTGCTATGTGTGCTGTTGCCTCCGCTAGCACAGTGTCACTCAATAAATATACCTTGAAAGGATAAATGTGTTTTTGTGACCCGATCCTTCATCCAAACATGGACCAATAGAAGTAGAGAGGAGTGAGGTTGATGACTCTGGGCAAGATTTCTGTCATGTCTTGGATTCACACTCCAGAAAGACAGCATAAGAGCCAATTAGCCATGCCATCTCCCCATATGGCTGTCACCATATGCCTCAGCAGAAAGTTACCAGACACAAAGACACCATCATTTCTTGCCGGAATTGTAGCTATGTTTGTGCATCTGGTAATGCTCATAAATTTTATTATTGTTTATTGCTATTTTGTAAAACACCCTACTTAACCCTCTAGGAAAAGGTCCTTACACTTATTATTTATCTGGGAAATTGCTCCTACGCTTTTCATTTCTCCTCTGTTTCATGCCAACCTTCTAATGCTTTTTCTGTTTTTTTAAATTAAACTCTCCTCTGCCTCTTCAGAAACTTTTTTATCACCATACCTACTACATTCTTGGAGTATTTCTCCTGTGTAGTATAATAACTTTTTATTTTCTTCAATAAGTCAGTATACAGAGAGGTTTTCTGAATGCTTTCTCCACTTTTACCTAGTCAAGAGGCCAGCCTCCACTTAAGTATTTGGAATGGGACATAGACGCAAACAGAGAGATAAGCATAGTACATCCTCTAGTTTCCAGGAACGGCTCCACCTGTGCCCATGTGAGTCTTGTTGACTATGCCTATCAATAAGTAATGTCTGGCTATGTAGCAACTATTGGAAAAGATGTTTTTAAACCTTTCACTCATTCCTTCCTTGTCCCATAAATTTTTCTTAACGCATTTGTCCATGTATGCCTATTTAACAAGCCTTGCTTTCCTCAACAAATACACTAGCACACATGACCTTGCAGATCTACATCGGCAACTTGAAAAAATTCTCTCTTACCTATAACAGTCTATTTGGTTGTGGCTCCTCATCAGAGTTTCTAGAAGATCATCATTTTCTTGTACAAGATAGAGTTTCCAAAACTATAACCTCTCTCACTTGAGCTTCAAATTCTTTTATTATTTTCACCCTTTGGAAGCTGAATCTGAAAAACAGAAAGATTTACAATGGCCATCTGTTGCTATTTCATTGTCCTGCACTATTAAAATAGAGACTAACTCACAAGAATGCATGGATTTCCCCTTCAGCACTTTATCCACTACAAATTATCACTGAGTGAGGGAATAGACTGTGCTCACCTCAACAATTTTGCTGTTAGAGGGCTCACAGATTGGCTTCTAAATAGACCTGGAGATGATTAAAGATTTATTCTTAATGCAATTCTTCTCATTGCTCCACCAAACTAGAAATGAGTTGACAGAAAGAGAAACCTGGCTAGTAAAATAGATTTTGTGCGTGTGAGCGTGTGCATATAAAGAAATAACCTTCTTTACCCCAAATGACTATCCATCTGTTATTTAGAGAATATTGAGAGTGCATTTATTTACGTTCACATATTCTATAAGTAAGAATCCCAGTAACCAAGGAGAATAAACTGTCTGCATCTTGCTTAACAACTTCAGATTAAGGAAGCTGGCATTTGCTCTTCCTTTTTTAGGACCCTTGTCTATCAAAGCCATTATCGAACTACTGTTGATGTGCCAAAAAGAAAGCAAAGAATCCCCAAGTGCCGCCTCCTCTGCTTTTAGCCAATTGTCAAGTGCTACTGGGTGATAAAAAGGAAAAAATATCTTCTTAATCCCTTCAGTGTTAAGTTTATTTTCTAAAGTATGAGATTTTATTCCTCTTCTATTTTCAGATAGAATCACTGATATGGTTTGTCAGAAGGGAGATTGGGCTATTTTTCTCTTTAAAGTGCCAGGTAAGATTTTTAAAGCTGTGAATTTCCCAGGGTGATTATTTGCTGGGTGGCATAAAATTTCTTTCCCACCTACTCTGCTTGCTGTTGCATGTGTTGACTGACTTTACTCTTATCGTACGGGTCCGTGTTATCCTGTTTTTCTAAGCACTATCATAGGGGCTAGAGTTAGAATGTGTTGTGCATGCATGAAAAATGTAGAGCAACATTTCAGACACAATTTTGGACTTGTTGTCCAATGATTATCTACATTATATTGGGAGTGGGTAAGATCTGTCTTTTGAAAAATGTTGTTTCTTCTTGCCCCATCCATGGTTTAACATGAAAAGTATGCAACTAGCGTGCAACAAGAAAGAGAAAGAGCTTGTGCAGGGAAACTCCCCCTTATAAAATCATCAGATCTTGTGAGACTTATTCACAATCATGAGAACAGCACAGGAAAGGCCTGCCCCCATGATTCAGTTACCTCCACCAGATACCTCCCACAACATGTGAGAATTCAAGATGAGATTTGAGTGGGGACACAGAGCCAAACCGTAGCATTCCACCCCTGGCCACTCCAAATCTCCTGTCTTCATATTTCAAAACCAATCATGCCTTCCCAACAGTCCCCCAAAGTCTTAACTCATTTCAGCATTAACTCAAAGTCTCATCTAAGACAAGGCAAGTCCCTTCTGCCTTTAAGCCTGTAAAATCAAAAGCAAGTTAGTTGCTTGCTAGATACAATGGAGGTATTGGCATTGGGTAAATACAGCCATTTCAAATGAAAAAAAAAAATGACCAAAACAAAGGAGTTACAGGCCCCATGCTAGTCTGAAATCCAGCAGGGCAGTCAAATCTTAAAGTTCCAAAATGATCTCCTTCGATCCCATGTCTCATATCCAGGTCA
The DNA here is from genome assembly GCF_000001405.40 of Homo sapiens. Taxonomy (NCBI): domain Eukaryota; kingdom Metazoa; phylum Chordata; class Mammalia; order Primates; family Hominidae; genus Homo; species Homo sapiens. The sequence continues at coordinate 115,367,166 of NC_000006.12, read as the reverse complement.
TGCTGATGCAAGAGGTGGGTTCCCATGGTCTTGGGCAGCTCCGCCCCTGTGACTTTGCAGAGTGCAGCCTCCCTTCCAGCTGCTTTCACAGGCTGGCGTTGAGACTCTGCGGCTTTTCCAGGCACATGTTGCAAGCTGTCAGTGGATCTACCATTCTGAGGTCTGGAGGACAGTGGCCTTCTTCTCATAGCTCTACTAGGCAGTGCCCCAGTAAGGACTCTGTGTGGGGGCTCTGACCCCACATTTCCCTTCCACACTGCCCTAGCAGAGGTTCTCTATGAGGGACCCACCCCCACAGCAAACTTCTGCCTGGGCATCCAGGAGATTCCATACATCTTCTGAAATCTAGGTGGAGGTTCTCAAACCTCAATTCTTGACATCTGTGCACCGCAGGCTCAACACCATATGGAAGGTTCCAAGACTTGGGACTTGCCCCCTCTGAAGCCATAACCTGAACACTGCATTGACTCCTTTCAACCATGGCTGGAGCTACTGGGATGCAGGGCACCAAGTCCCTAAGCTGCACACAGCAAGAGACCCTGGGCCCAGCCCATGAAACCAAGTTTTCCCCCTGGGTCTCCAGGCCTGTGATGGGAGGGGCTTCCATGAATACCTTGGACATGGCCTGGAGACATTTCCCCATTGTCTTGGGGATTAACATTTGGTTCCTCATTACTTATGCAAATTTCTGCAGCCAGCTTGAATTTCTCCTCAGAAAATGGGATTTTCTTTTCTATCACATTGTCAGGCTGCAAAATTTTGAACTTTTATCCTTTACTTCCCTTATAAAGCTGAATGCCTTTAACAGCACCCAAGTCACATTTTGAATGCTTTGCTGCTTAAAACTTTCTTTCACCAGACACCCGAAATCATCTTTCTCAAGTTCAAAGTTCCACAAATCTCTAGGGCAGGGGGAAAATGCCACCAGTCCCTTTGCTAAACCATAACAAGAGTCACCTTTGATCTGGTTCCCAACAAATTCCTCATCTCCGTCTGAGACCAGCTCAGCCTAGATTGCATTGTTCGTATCACTATCAGCACTTTGATAAAAGCCATTCAACAAGTCTCTAAGGAATTCCACATTTTCCCACATTTTCCTGCCTTCTTCTGGGTGGTCCAAACTGTTCCAACCTCTGCCTGTTACACAGTTCCAAAGTCACTTCCACATTTTTGGGTATCTTTTCAGCAGCACCTCACTCCTGGTACCAATTAGTTCATTTTCACGTGGCTGATAAAGGGATACCCAAGATTGGGCAATTTACAAAAGAAAGAGGTTTGATGGGCTTAAAGTTCCATGTGGCTGGGGAGGCCTCACAATCATGGCAGAAGGCAAGCAGGAGCAAGTCACATCTTAGATGGATGGCGGCAGGCAAAGAGAGAACATTTGTGCGGGGAAACTCCCCATTATAAAACCATTAGATCTCATGAGACTTATTTGCTATCACGAGAACAGCACAGGAAAGACCTGCTCCCATGATTCAATTATCTCCCACCAGGTACCTCCCACAACAGATAGGAATTCAAGATGAGATTTGTGTGAGGACACAGCCAAACCGTATCAGCAGGGTTATAACTAGTTATTAAATTTACAGTTGTCAGCTGGGTGTGGTGGCTCATGCCTGTAATCCCAGCACTTTCGTAGGCTGAGACAGGTGGATCAGTTGAGGTCAGGAGTTTGAGACTATCCTGGCCAATATGGTAAAACCCCACCTCTACTAAAAATACAAAAATTAGCCAGGTGTGGTGGCACGTGCCTGTAATTCCAGTTACTCAGGAGGCTGAGGCATGAGAGTTGCTTGAACCTGGGAAGCAGAGGTTGCAATGAGTTGAGATTGTGCCACTGCATTCCAGCCTGAGTGACAGAGTAAGACCCTTTCTCAGAAAAGAAAAAAAATTCAGTTGTCCTCAACTGAGTGGTGTAGAAATGCATATTGGAATTCCAGCAAAATATTCCTGGATTGGTGAAGTCTTTCACCAGGAAGAGTACTTATGGCCATTTGGCAAATTATTTTACAACTACCCCATCAAGCTGTTTGTCTAATTTCTTCCTCAATTTCTCCTAAGATAGGAAGCTTACTACTTCTTGAGGCAACCAACAATGTTGTTGACACATTAGTCATTATGTTCTCTCATTCGTTAAGCCTAATGTACTTCACTTTTACATTTACTCCTGCTTCTATCATATGAAATCATAAGTAATGAGCTTCTCTCTCTTCCACAGTATTGTTTTTAGATGTTCAGAACCAGATCAACTATTTCTCATATAAAATTTGCATAGCATGTTACAACTTACATAAATGCATTAGCATAAATGATCTTATTTAACTTACGCAACTTTATGGAGGGGGTAGTATTATTATATCTTTTTTATAGGTGAGGAAATTGGGCCTTAAGGGGACAAAGTAACTTGCCCTAAACTCCTTAACTCTCATTTAAAATAAAAGGGTTTCAAACCTAATCTTTCTGACTCTACTTCTGGAGTTTCTTTAATCTGCAACACTGAAGAGTTTCTGAACCCTTCACTAATTCTGTCATCATTCTGTAGGTCATTCCATCATCTAACACTAATAATGTGGCTTTAAAAATCAAGGACTTAGGTGTGGCCTGCCCAGTGCAGAATTTAGTGGAGTGATCACTGCCCTGAAATATTTTCTTTCTTAGCCTTGCTTCACACTGTTGACTCATGCTGAACCTATACACACTTGCAGCTTGCTGTCTATGAGATTACTAACAATTCATGACCCTCTGTACTAAAATTGTACCATCAGTTCTGAAATCTAAATTCCTAGAGCACATACTTTTAATTTATTATCCCAATATTTCTTGATTTTTTTTAATTTGGTTCTGCATTTTGAGTTTATGGCACAACTAAAATGGATTTTTAATTTGGCATCTAACAATCAAGAACATTTTTTAATTTCTTGCAAATTTATCCTGTCTTCTCATGTTTATTATTCACTTTCACCAAGGGCTCAATGAGAAATAACAAATTATGTATTACATTTCATCAAAAGATTTAAATACCTTATGCTAAGTAAAAAGTTGAGAAATATTAGGCACTGTACATAGCCAGTGGTAGAGATATATCTGGTTAGCAGCAGTCCTCAGCTGTAGTTCTCAGGCTTCTAATCACTCTGCTTATATACAGAATGACCCTATGGAAGAAGAAAACATAACTGAGATAGCAATGAACAAATATAAATTAGAATTAATTAGTAGGCTGCCTCAAGTAATAGTAAAAAAAGAATGCCATCTCCTCAAAATAATCCATTATTAGACCAACATCTTGAGAAATAATCTGAATTATTGGAAGGAGCCCTGTACTTGGTTTCAATGCTAATAAGTGATATGAGACAGTGATAATATAGAAAGAAACATGTTTTTCATTTACTGGACTGTTTTATGCTATTACATTTTCTTTATTTAAATTTTTTTTCCTCTGATTTTATTGAAATCCTTTTTGAAAAATTGTGGCTGTTTCAGCTCTGCTAAGGAATTGGGTTGGAAATTGGGCCCGAGGTATATAAGCATCCTTCTCAGGGCCAGGCCTAGCATGGCTATGGGAAAGGAAGTGAGATGGTTATAGGGGAACTGAAACTCAAGGCAGTGTCAAGGGCACTGGGGTAATGGCAGTATTTTTATTCTGGACAGTCCCTCTTGGAGGATTTCTTTAAACCCTGAAAAGCCATGGGTTTAGATTTACGAAGGGAAGATATTCTATGTGAAACTAAATCACAGGCAAACTCGCGAAATTAATGTGATTCATGAATCATAGCTAGGATTTAGAATCTAGTCTGTGCTCGTTTCTTAGCATTTTATGGTTCCTTAATTTGATTGCCTAAAGCTGGCTGTGGTGGGCATCTAATAATAATGAATACTGAACCTAATCTTCCTTCTGAGCAATGGCTGCCATGTTACCTAAGTTCACGGCTAGGGGCCTCCCATGTGGCTGAGTCTTCTCCAAATAGGTGAATAAATCCTGAAGTGCAAAAATCCTTTCTTATATTTATTAACCTCTGTTAAAGAGTTACATAGATGGGCAGCACACATGTGAAACATAGTATCCTACATAGAGTGTGAGTGAATCCTGAAAAATGGCTGGGATTGAGGACAAGTTTTGGGTATTCCCATTGGTTTGTTGATCAATAAAACCCCTAATGGTTTCACTAATTACCAGGATGATAAGGCTCTCTATGCCAGCAGGGGATCATTGACTCTCCACATGGAGTATACCAGAATGTTGGAAAGCAGCATGTATCTAAAATTCAGAAGATTTTGCCTAATAGGGTGTTTGGACACATGCCAATTCTTTCACTTAGCTGCTCTAAAGGAGCAGTCTGACTCTAACCCAGCTCCAGGGTTTTGTTTCCTCTGACAAAATTGGTTTTGTTCCACCATCGACTGGTTTTGTTCCACCAGTGATAACTCCATCATATGCCTTGCAACAACTAACATCCCAAAGGAAAACTTGACATATCAACCAAGAGATGAATCATCCTGAACCTGAAATGCCATCTCTCCCCAGAAGAGCTAAATATCATGGAATTCTCTAAGGGACCATGCATCAATTCTTGGCCACTGTGCTTGAGAGAATAGGTTCTAAAAAATAGAAGATATAATATCCCTTTGAAGGATAAAATAACTTACATATTGGAAAATCATAGTCATAAGGGAGACTATTAACTAGCACACCCAGTTTTTCTTCAAGGTTGTATCATGCAAATCTGAGTGTTGGTTTGTATACCCAGGTGAGCTATTAATAGCTGGTAACTTTCTCTATAAGTCAGCATCTCTTTTGTTTATTGATTTGTTTTACAGAATTTGCAGTCATGACGATAACTAATGTTTTTAGGCAGTTTGTACAGTATATTACAAATTCTAAACTGAAGATATTCCAGTTGGAATCAATTATAATTGTACAAAAGAGTTGTTAAATTTCAGATCAGTAGTCCTCTAGTTCAAGTATGGATTTTAGATAGCTTTACTTCTAACTCCTTAATTTTCTCAGTAAGTCAGTCACTGCAATGGTTTGAAATGACCACTCAGAATTATGAAACCCATGAAAAGTAAAACAAGAACTCAAACCACGTTATCTTAGTTACTCATGGATAGAGTTGAAACCTCAAGAGAGGATGCCAGGTCTCCTGGTAACATTTATAGATTAAATTGGATTAAGAGCACTGATTTTGGAGCCAGGCAGGCTTGCTTTTCAATGTTGGCCTTGCCACTTACTAGAAATGGTATACAGTAAGCTACTTAAGTTCTTTGAATCCTAGTTTCCTCATTGCTATATATCTTATAAATATACAAATAATGCCGGGCGCAGTGGCTCATTCCTGTAATCCCAGCACTTTGGGAGGCTGAGGCGGGTGGATCATGAGGTCAGGAGTTTGAGACCAGCCTGACCAACATGGTGAAACACTCTCTCTCCTAAAAATACAAAAAAATTAGCCGGGTGTGGTGGCATGCACCTGTAATCCCAGCTACTCAGGAGGCTGAAGCAGGAGAATCTCTTGAACCCAGGAGGGGGCGGTTGTGGCGGTTGTAGTGAGCAGAGATAGCACCACTGCACTCCAGCCTGGGAGACAAAGTGAGACTTCATCTCAAAAAATAAATAAATAAATATTAAAAATAAATAAATATACAAATAATAATACTCGTCTAAAATAATGTTTCAAGAAGTAAAGAAGAATGATTTTGAAGTATCAAACTTTAGATTTTTCATCTCCTCTTACTTTCTTTTCTATTTCCAGAATACACACATTAACTCGACAAACATAATCCATATCCCAAGCTAGCCGTCTATGTCAAAGAGATAAGTTTAATATTTATTTAGTCAATCATTAAACAATTATTTAATGTTTATAAAGATTGTAATCTGATATGGAAACTACAAAAGGTTTATTATGCAAAGATAACCAGCTCTCAAAGAAGCAGAGTCCAATTTTGGCACAGAAATTCTTCCTGACAGTAGATAGCCTAAGTCAGGGCTAAGCACATTAGTTTTGAAATTGCACTGCCTGTGTTTCAAATACAGTTCAACCACTCACCAGCTGCGTTATCTCAAATAATTACTCAGCTGCTCTGAGCCTCAGGTGTGTTGGCTGCAGTCTGTGAATAGTTTTTACCTCATAATGTTGTGAGGCCTTAATCATCATTTCATATAATTTGCAAGTCTTAATCACTCAGTAAATACTTACTATGTAACACTTTCATATTTACTTTACATAGTACTATGCAATGCAAGTATATATACTTATTATACAAGTATACTTGCTAAATAATACTTAGTAAACAGTAAATGATTACTGTTAATAGTATTGATTGTTTCCATAGAGATCAAGGTGTGCATCTGTGTGTGAGTGTGTGCATGTGTGGTGTGTGCAGGTAGATAATCTCAGCCAGCTAAAGTGCTAAGGATAGACAACCTTTGCAATATAATCCAAGGTATAGAGGTATCCACAAAACATTTGAGGACAGCACATCGTAGTATGTAGCAAGCACAAGGTCAGGAAGCAGATATCAGGGGTAAGGGAGAGGTATAGAGAAGAGAATCATACTTGGGGCAGGGATTAGAGATGGAAGGATGATGGTTGACAAAAGCAAATAAGCAAAAGTAAATAAATTAAAAAACTGTCCTTTGAAAATGTAGGACATATTTGAAATTTTCATTAAACAGTTTAGGTGTAGACTTAAGCCACATGTCATTTATTTGGTGAGTTGCTTATTCAACAGATATTTAGTGAGAGCAGGATTATGAAGATAGAGTCAGAGGAAAGGCAAACATGGCACCCACTTCTGTGAAGCTTATAGTCTACTGGGAATGGTCCTTGTCAGCGCCTACTCCTAAATCATCTATTCCTCTCCCCGAATCCTTTATTCTACTCTGTATATCTGTATACTTTGCTCAAAAAATAGGGAAAAAATCTATATATGTCTAGGAGTAATTTTTATAACTAAATTGAATTTAGCTAATTACAGTGTCCAATATCAGGCATTAACTTTATGCTATTAATGTAATTTCATATGCATTTAAATTAGAGCAATAGAAACATTTGAAATGAAATATATTTACAGATATTTCAATTAGATGCCAAAATGCAAATTTTTTCAGCAATTTTGACAAAAATCTTTTTATGCTGTCTTTGAGAAAATTCTATGTAAAGATTTTGTGAATGAGTTTTAATGTTTTATTAAGAAGGTAATATAAGAATTTTCATGCAGTGAATTCATTTAAGAAAAAGATATTTTGGATTAACAAAACGAGACATCAGTGTAAATTAACTTTACTGTCCATAGGACATTTTACACAGTTGTAGTTTGTGGTTGTTGATAGTTATGGAAGCCATTAATGTAAACATGAGAGGGGAAAATATTCACTTTAAATAAGGCAACATAATGAGAAACATGATCAATATGTACCACAAGAAGATTTGCTTCTGGAAAGTGTTATTGGTGCTAGAGGCTTTGATTATCACAGTTACCCAATTACAAAGCAAGTAGGTTTAAAATTCAGAGAATAAAAAGTGTTTTATGAACATATATTTTATTTCCCAGTATTCTCCTCCCTTTGCATTCCCAAAATAGTGATAAAATCTCAAGTCACTTAACAAAATCTTTGACTCCAATATAGGAAAACATAATCTTCGATTTTATGTACACCTGTGGTTTACAAAGAACTCAAAGGCTTTATTTTTGTGTTTTACTTATGGAAAACCTTCTATTGCTATTTCTCTTGTAAACAAGAATGGTTTTTAAAAATAATTTTCAATTAAACTGTACTATCCTGTAGTATTCATTATTTCATCTTAAAATCATACATATGTGAATAAGCACTTTTATTAATAAAAATAATCTCATAGTTAAAAAGAGTCTCAAATTCTTGGTTCTTCAGGTACTACTACTGTAACTTTGGGAAAATTACTAAATCTCTCTGCACCATATTTTGTGTAAATTAAAATGGGTTTACACTTAACAATATTTTTATGATGTTTAAACCGTTAGAAATATAATTTAAAAGCTTAGGAAAGGGACTTGCACACATAACAAGGTTAAATAAATGGCAGCCATTAGCTCTTAGGTTTATTGTCAATACACATATTTAAGAGGTCTAAAAGTCCATTTAGATTTTTTAAAAAGTGAATAAAAGTAGTCTGAGAATGCAATATTAAATCAGCACTGGAGCTTCTGGTTCAATATGGTGTCAGGCTAGTGAACTCTGATGAAGCTTGTCTTTATATCCTTTTTTTTCCCTTGTCTTGCTCTCTTTCTCTCTCTCTCTCTTTTTTTTTTTTTTTTTTTTTGTGAGACAGCTTCTGGCTCTGTACCCAGGCTGGAGTGCAGTGGCACAATCATGACTCAGTGCAGCCTCAACCTCCTGGGCTTATGTGATCCTCTAGCCTCATCCCCCAATTGAAGTATCAATTGGCCACAATTTGGCACTACATCAAGGTTGAGCTGGTTTCTCCAACCTCTGCTGAGATCCCTACAGCTATTCAGAGCCTGAAAACAAAACAAAACCAACAGTCAATAGTGCTCAAACTGGTAGCTTCAAACAGCTCACAGGTAAGGAAGCTGTGCTGCATGGTTTGGGGATCACCAAAGGGTGGATATGATTTTATCTCAGAGAGCTCATAGACAAACATGGTATTATTGGCTATAATGCTTGAAGCCCAATCTTTAACATCTGATTATAATTGATTTGTTATCTGAATGTTCTTGGACCACATGTGATTAGATTGCTATTTGAATATAATGTGTCAAAAATAAAAATAAAAAAGGAATTGACAGTATTAACACCATTTCCATCAGTATTCCTAATTTGGAAAATCTACCTCAAGGAAATAATTAGCAATTTGGAAGAAAATTTATATAGGATTTCCACTGCATCTTTTTTCTTAGAGTGAGGAGTATGTATAAAAAATAACCTAAATATATATAAGGAGAAATGCATACAGTGCCACCACCATAAAAGAAAATATAATTCATTCATTAAAGACAGAATTTTAAAAAATTCTTTACATCATGGAGAATTGTTTGCCATGAAACAAAGCAGATAATGAGCAAAAAGAAATCAACAACACTCTGTACAATCTGAATTTGGGGGAACATACATACACATTCATAGAGGAAAAAATGTATTGGGTTATAATGTTTACTTCTGGGTTTTTATTTATTTGAAATTATTTGTCCTTCTTAATCACAGTTGTTTTTTCAAAGGTGAATTTGAATTTATGAGAATAAATGGGGTACTTTTGAAAGTTAAACTTCTAATTAGGTTGTTTGGTTACATTGAATAGTATATTTACATTGTTAGAAATAACAATGCCTCAGAATTTATAATAAAATATATTTTACTCTCTGTATTTTTCTCATCAAAGTTTAACTTTGAAAAGTCCTTAGAATAAAAATTTGGGAGTGCAATGTCAATTCTGCTTATTGTTGAAATTATTGCCATGAAACTTGACCTAAGGATAAGTATATTACACCTCTTTTGAGATTCTAATGAGAATTGGCCAAATCAACTAGAAACAGATAAACATCAGCATTTGTCTTTTTGTTTCTGAGTTGACTGAAAAGGGCCAAAAATACTAGGCACTTCTTGGAGTCTACAAATGGAGAATAATGAAAGTGATCGTCTGAAAGACAAAACATTTGAATGCAGGTGGAAGCAAGAACAGATTTTAAAATGTATTGTTTTAAGGATCAAGAATTTAAATGGAGAGCTGGAGAAATCCAGGGAACACAGACCTGATTGGGAGCTTCCATCTTACATTTTGAGCTATTCCCTTAGCACTTCAAGAAATCTGGAGTCAGCCAGGCTGACAGAAACCTGCTGTCAAATGTGTGTTGCCCACCACCACAGATGACAGACATTTTACCTGAAAAAGCTATTAGACTTATGTTCTTCAAATTTTCCAGGTCAATTGTTCAAATGTCAGTAGGTTAACATGGACTATAAGAAACTTGGCCATTGACTCCAGAGAATTAGTGAGCTGAGTGTAGGGTTTGTGGGTGAGTGGGGACCATGCAATTTTAGTTTCTTTTATAAGATTAGCAACCAGGTTAATTTATTTTTCTTAGTTTTAAAAGTTAAATATCAATAATTATTGCTAGAACATCTTTCTTCTATTTTTATTATGATTTCATCTATATAATGGCCAATGTTTATATTTTACTGGAAAACAGCTTCTCAGATTTTCTCAACTAGAATTTATTTTCTCCAAATTTCTCTTAGTCTTGGTTGCATAAAGTATTTTATCCTAACAGGATACTTCTATTAGGCTGGAGAAACAGGCACTGACCCCAGAAATACAAGGCTTTGCAAGAGGGGAGAAAAGGAGAATACTGAAAGAGAAGATTATGAATCAGCTATGGTGGCCAGACACTCTAGTTCACAGTGGCAAATTTAGGTGTGGTTCATCCTGTGTTGGTATTCACAAAGATGTTATATGGTAGAAGAATTAAAAATGGCACTCCAGTCTTCAAATTAAATGGAGGGCAGCAGTGAGAACCAAGCCACCCATCCACTAGAAATAAAACCCATTTTTGGAGATAAAGAAGTAAGACAAAGGGATAGAAAGAGCTGGCCATGGTTCTGATCACATCAATGTTGGTGCTCCAACAGCAGCAGAGAATTGGAATGATAGACAAAATAAAGCAGAATAATTAGAGTTAATCTTTCATAAATACCCTAAAGACTGCATGGTCAAACTCTAGAATACCTGAAGTAAGAGGTCCAGCCGTGCTGGGTACTTGGACTTAATCCAGCAAAAATAATTATGGATGATAAGAGTTGGGGGGCTGAAGATACTAAAGAACTAAGTAATCGTTTTCAGTTGGGCATGATGGACCTGAGCCTGTATGGACAGCCTCAAGAATTCTTGGAGGAAAGACCTTGTCAAATATTAGCAGTAAGAGAGAATAGGAAAAGAAAGAATAGAATATTTACCAAATGTATCATAGGCACTCATGCTACATTCATTCATTTCATATTAGTAAGAAGTAGATAGGTATTATTATGATTTTCCTATGATAATTATAGAATGAGATTCATAGTGTTAGATAATGTCAAAGATATTATGTGAGGCTCAGTGCATCATGGTTTTGAAATCTATATTTCTAGCCCCATACTATGATGCACCTATATAACCCATGTTACATTGAGAGGGGTCAAAGGTGAACATTCCCAGCATACTTTCACATACATGTCATTTGACTGACTAAAGGGAATTCATGTGAAGTAAATTGAACAGTCTTTAATGTTTTATGCAGTTAAAATGCATAGATTATTGAGCCATTTTGTGTGGACAGACATCTAGATGCAGAGTATACTCTTCAGTATTACATGTCCTTCAGAGAATTCAGAGAGATGATTTTTCTAGTCTTCAAGGTGTGGGGGCAAGCTGGATGAATGCACAGATTGCCCTATAAATCTGTCCCCTCAAAAGTGCAAAGTACAGTCACAGAATTAGGATTTAACCAGTTGCTATGGCAAAAAAATTGAATCTTAAAGATCCTTAAAAAGGAGTTTAAGAATCTAAGTGTCAATAGAACTATGCATGACTCTGAAGGCATTAAGCTGCAGAAGAGTGTGCTGATAACAAGTGTGAAATGGGACAAGCAGAACCACACAAGGAGATTAAAATGCCAGTTACAGGGACCAATGACTTGACAAGGGATTTGGTTAAGATAAAAAGGGCAGAGGGATTTGTGCACCTCAGGTTGTTGGTGAAAGTTATGAAAGACATTTTCACTACTTCGTCAGCTTGAAGGTAGCTTAGGCTGTTACGGGCAATTTGGATACTAATAATAATCACTGTTTGAGCTTTTAGCTTGGGTGTTAGTGAATGATTGCCCTATCACTAAATACCAAGGAAGATTTCCAGTTCCATTCCCTTGTTGATCTGAGAAGAGACTGGCAATTGGATAAGCTTTCCATAGCTGCCATTTTGCATGCTTAATACTTACACAAAGATTTGCCAAAAAAAATTACCAGAAAAATTCAAATTAAATTGAGACTACTGAGTGGCAGAATAATAAAAGTTAAAGAATCGCTCCTTCATGCAACTGATATTTATGGAGTACTTACTATGTGCTAAACACTAGAGTAATTGCTAGGCAACAATCATTTATGCCCTTATTGATCTTACAATCTAGTTTTATCAAATAAGCCCATATATAAATGTAAGACTGCATCTATGGCAAGGACAATGAAGACGAGGTAGACAGTGCTTATGAGAACATTTAAAATTAAAACATCATGTGGTCAAGGAAGGCTTTCCTAAGGAAATGACTTTTTTATTGGATTCCCTGAAGGATGAGTAGGTGTTAACTAGGAAAGAAAAAGGGTGAGAAAAGTTTTTCTATCAAAGAGCGTTTTTTGAGGTGTCTGGGACCAAAATGAACTTGTGAAATTTATAGGAATGAATCAAAGAGAAGAAAGAGTAGAGGCATTATTTTTATTTTTTATTTTTTGAGATGGAATCTCGCTCTGTTGCCCAGGCTGGAGTGCAGTGGTGTGATCTCGGCTCACTGCAACCTCTGCCTCCCAGGTTCAAGCAATTCTTCTGCCTCAGACTCTCAAATAGCTGGGACTACAGGCATGCACCACCACGCCCAGCTAATTGTTGTAGTTTTAGTAGAGACTAGGTTTCACCATATTGGCCAGGCTGGTCTCGAACTCCTGACTTCGTGATCCACCCGCCTCAGCCTCACTGCTCCCGGCCAGGTAGAGGCTTTATAGGAAGACACTGGAGAACAGGTAGGAAGAGACAATGTGGGATCTAGTGGGCCTTATTTTGAGCTACACTAACACAGCAGCCACTGGCCTGTGTGGTTATTTACATTTGAATTTAATTTAAACAGATTTAAGAATTTAACTCCTTGGTTAAACTAGCCATCTTTCAAGTGCTCATGATCCACATTTGGCTAGTGGCTACCATATTGGAAAGTTTCCAGAACATTTCCATTATTGCAGAACGATCTAGTGAAATGTGTTTCATGTATGTGCTGTCAAAACAAGCACACATGAAATGTGTTTGGGATTTGATTTTATCCTAAGAGCAGTGAGAAGTCATGGTTTCTTCAATGTTGAGGTGAATAATGGTATGATTGATATGCATTTTAAGAAGAACTCCATGGCTATAGAATGGAGACAGTTTGGTAGGAGAAAGGCAAACTTTATGTAAGTATGCCACTTAAGAGGCCATTATAGCCTCCAACAAAGAAATTATTAGTAGATGGAAATGACAGCAGTGGACAGAGTTCTGTGATTTCAGCAGATAAAACAGTCAATACTTAGTGAGGCATGAAATTTGCAAACTGAAGGAGAAGTTTTTGGCTTTCAAAGTTTCTGGGTAGTGGTGTCATTAACAGGAAAAGCACTGGAATGGGACCATATCTATATAGAGTAATTCTTTGTTTGCAGTACCTGAGCAACTGAAGATGTCAAGAAGCCGCTGGATATTACCCACTGCCTTTAGATGAATCTCTAAGAGGGCAAAAAAAATAATTTCAACACCTGCCTTTAAGGAAACAATGCAACACCATCAACAACAAACAAAAGAAACAAAACATCTCTCTGCTTCTTTCTTCCCACTCTTTTCTCCTTTGACCTTCCTCTCTTCCCTCCCTTATTTCCTGGCCACACATAATGTATTATTTTTAGCAGATTCTTCAGCTTAGAGTAAGGTTGTGTAATGTGAAATATAATTCAATTTTAGTTACACTCTTTATAATAAGAGCTGGACAATTAACTGACTGGAAGCATAGCCAACTCATATTTGAGTGCTAAATGAGTGTATTATTCCATTCTCACACTGCTATAAAGAACTGCCTGAGACTGGGTAACTTATTAAAAATAAAAAGGGAGGGAGTTTAATTGGCTCACAGTTCTACATGGCTGGGGAGGCCTCAGGAAACTTACAATCATGGCGGAAGGGGAAGCAAACATGTCCTTCTTTATGTCCTTCATAGCAGCAGGAGAGAGAAGCGCTGAGTGAAGCAGGGGTAAAGCCCCCTACAAAACCATCAGATTTCATGAGAAGTCACTCACTATCATGAGAAAAGAATAGTGGGACCACCCCCGTGATCTAACCACTTCCTATGAGGCCGCTTCCCCAGTATGTGGGGGATTATAATCCAGATTACAATTCAATATGAGATTTTGGGTGGGGACACAGAAAAACCGTATCAGTGAGACACCAGCAATGACACGCCCATCATTTTCTGAATAAAAATACCAAATTCTAGGAAGTTTCCATGATTTGCTGAGACAGTTCTTCTGCTTTTGCATATTGTTTTTTTTCTGTTTACATCATGTTGCTCCCTTGGAGTGAGAGAAATAAGTCTTTTTCTGGTCTAAAACTTTTGCAGTAAGCTGTTACATGAGAAATATCTTTGGAACTGCCTAGCCCAAAGGCAGGCAGTGTAGAACTCTGCTCAATAATGAAAGAAAGAAAGAAGCTTGCTAGGTTTCTTGGCAAAACTTTAAAGGCATAATTCTTCAACATTGCTTGATACTATAGCAGTATATTTTGATGGTATCTGTGAGTTGTTCAGAGAATTTCAAAGTAGTAGTTTTAAATTTCCTTAGCCACAAAGAGCTTGTCAAAGACTGTTGAATGACTATGAAAATGTGAAAACAAACATGCTTGGTGAATACAAAGAAAGCTTACCATTTTGGAACAGGTTTCAAAACACAAAACCCAGCATTTCTTATTGAGATAATAAACTTTCTGATATTTTATTCCACTTGCTTTTTCTCTTGCTTTATTTCCATCTGCTTAGATATATTCTAAATTTGCACTGGATCTCAGTATTTTGTTAGTGTGAGTATGTGTTTACTTACCTGAATAATTACTTTGTCACAAATATAATTGAGGAATGTTAATCATGTATAAAACAGTTTTGGAAACCTATTTTAAAGGTGGATAAATCTACACTCAATTTAAACCAAACATTTTTCACTTTAAAATATCTTGATGCTTTTATTCCACATCTTTATGGGAAACAGAATCCACATTGGGTATTAACAAAAAATTCTGGACTAATCCTTTCATTTCATTTATGTAAGTACCAAAAGTATTTGACATTTGTTCTAACTAATCTGCTTAACAATCTGGTAACATACAAAAACATTGCCCCTCCTTTTTAAACATAAGAAGATAAAATGTAGGCAAATGATTTTGTAATATCTGATAAGGAATTCATTAATAAATACTGGGAGAAGAACAAATGGTTCCTGCTGAATATTAACCAGTTAAGCATAACACTAGAAAATCATATCATTGCAGCAGTATTATAAATACATGTGTGTCATTTGTGACTAAATATTTTTCTTCAGCCATAATTTAATTTAGCATTCTAGGATTCTAAAAATAAATGATCAGTCTTTATGTATATTTGCTTGACAGTGAACTCAATCCCCTTAATTGCTGACAAACTAGGGTTTATTCCAAAATATTTTACTTATAATAAATATCAAGGCTAGATTCATCTTTCTTAGTTTGAACCACTATGTTAAAAGATAAGTTGAAATTTTAAGAAATTAATCTTAAGAAAGGCTGAGATAATTTTGACCTTATCAAGACATAGAAATCCAGAAATAAGGGCTTTTCTTTCCCTGCCTCCCTCTCTTCCTCCCTCCCTGCCTCTCTCTTTCTTATTGACAAAAAAAGTGTGTATTTATGGTGTACAACATGATGTACACAGTGTGAAAATGGCTAAATCAAGCTAATTAATATATGAATTGCCTCATATATTTATTTGAAATGAGAACACTTAAAATCTAATCTTTTAGCAATTTTCAAGTATAAATTGTTATTAACAGTAGTCACCATATTGTATGATAGATCTCTTGAACTTTTTCATCCTAATTGAAATTTTGTATGCTTTGACTAACATCTCCTCCGTCCTCCCTACCTTGCTACTCCTCCAGTTCTTGGAAATCACCATTCTATTCTCCACTTCTCTGTTCTACTTTTTTAGATACCACATATGAGTGAGATTATGCAGTATTTGTCTTTCTGTGCCTGGCTTATTTCATGTTAACATAATGTACTCCAGGTTCACCCATGTTATTGTATATGGCTGGAATTTTTTTCCTTATTTGTAATTTAAGCCCAATATAAATTTTTAGCGTGGCAAATCAGACAGATAAACCAAACAGAAACAAAAAACAACAAAAATTCAAAAATAAAAACCAAAAAAAAAAACCGCAGTTTAGCTCTTAGAGAGTAATAAATACTATGTCTTGTTACTTTAATTATATATATTTTCAGTTTTGATCTAAATGAGAAAAATGTAGTCATAGAAATTGCTTACTATTATATCAGTTATTTATACAGACTTGACCTTATCTAAAGAAACATGCTTTAAAAAGTTGAAATGTACTCAACTAAGTAATATACATTAGTCATTGACATTAACTTAATTTTCAGATAAATAATAAATCGCTTCTGATTTTATAGATAGGAGTTAATCCAGTAGAGTGGTTATCATCAGCTCCAAGCCTTTTGGGGTTTTTAATTGTTCTACTCAAATGAAAAGATTTTTGCCAGCTTTTGTTACCACCCAATTAATTCTCAAAACCAATTAAGATAAAATCATACATAATAATCTCCTAATTACTACTAAGTGTATAAAATTTGCCTTTATCACTTAGTTCTTTTGACCCAACATTGACAATGCCTGATTAGTGGCGCCCCAGTACTCTGTACTTCTTTCCTTATTAGCATTAATGGACATTTGTAAAAAGACACCCACTTCAATTTTGTAATTCAAATATACATTGAACATTTCCTACAATTTGAATAGCTCTGTAATTATTTGTGTTTGAATACTGGACTGGACTCCACACTACGTTTTCTTGTTGTTCTTCTTTTTAACATCACTCCTGCTTGAGAACATTATACTAAAACAATGTGATGTGATTAACCTGGCTATTGGCTGGTTATCATTTACACATTCATAAATATTCTGAAACTAAAAATAAAAATATTATAAGTAACCTTTATATCTGAGTTTCTAAAATAAATTATTTACATTTTCTCATTTTTATTTATGTAATTGACGATTTCTCAAATTCTCGGTAACATGACACACATTTTTCAATCTTTTCAAGAAATGTTTTATATAATATTACAGAAAATATTCTAAATTATTTGATCATTGTGTTCTTTCTATAAACATAATGTAATATTATGTAAACTTATTTTCATTACAATATTATAGTGAAATTTATTGTTCAGATATTTTTGCCATCTGAATTTAAAAATAGTTATGTTTATTTTAGAAATTTAACAGCATTCAAATTCATTTTTATGCTTTATTTATATAAGTGAATTCAGTTGGGGTATTTTTAAGAAAAATTTTTAAAATCCAAAACAAATTAATGAGTTGGTGTTCATGCAAAATTCTGGGATAAGTCATACACGAAATTATATTATAGAACTCATTGCAGTTACAATTTATCTATTGTAATTTCTCCAGTAATGTCTGGCTTGCTCACTAGACTTACAGCAAGGTACATGTTTGTTTTACTTGGCAAAGTATCTTTACATCCTGGTACCATGATTATATAAGATTAAATAAGATTCTCATAATGAATATTTGCCAATTGAATGAATGGATGAATTAATGGCCAGTTAGAGGTAATAGGGTCAAAAAAAGATTTCAATGTTTACCCAATAGTTCCTGAAAACAGTTTACTTTTAGACTCATCAGTACATGTAATCACAAAATCAAATATATATTGAAAGAATATAATTAAAATTGAAAGTATTTTTGATAAATGACTGGAAAATGAAGAAAAAATCATATTGAAATGTCAAGAACTGTATACCCTACCTTTATTTGAATTAGGCTTTAGAAACCCATGCTAATCAGAGAGGATCTTGGATTTCATCGTAAAGAAAAATAATACAAGGCTCTGTGAGATTTTATTATATCTAAATTCAATAAATGGTGTTAAGAAATTGCTCTAAAAAGTTTTGGAAAGGTTACCACATGGAGACCAAAGAATTGATGAAATAAAATCTGTTTTCTTGACCTTCTTACATCTATTGCACATGGAGTACTCAGCAAATCTTGTTAAAGCCTTGCTACTAAGCCTATTGTGAGGAAAACTTTTTTTTTCCACAAATTCATTTACTAACGGCCTGTCCTGGTAGGATAACACAATAAAAATATTTCTTGGGAATTCAACTTAGACTAAATTGATAGGGCTGTGGACCAGCATCCTGCCTCTCCTCCCAATGGTTCTGTGATGTTGGGAAAATGAAAAGGAGCTAATAACTAGAAAATGTCTATTTCCTTCAGCTCTAATGTTCTGTATTTATGTCTGGTTTAGACACACATGGTTTTCTTTTTCACAAAAGGGTAGAAATACAAACTCTCCTTGGATTGCAAACTAGTGTCATGTTTTGGGGAGACTGTGGGACTTATCATTTTCTCAAAGGGTTCAAATTCATTATTTCCTTTTTATAAAAATATTCATTGTTTTCTGGGCAAAATATTAGGGGCTGAGAGTAATACAACTCAAACACTTACTAGTTTTTACTTTCACATCCATAAAAAGGTGAAGATAATGGTACTAACCTCAAATTTGTGGTGAGGACCAATGTGTAAAACAGAGCAGTATCTGTCATGTAGTCAGAGTGCAATACACTTAACTATTATTATTAATATCAAGGAATTTTTAAAAATCAGTGCCCTCCAAAGTCTCACAATATATTTGGGTACATTTTAGAAACACAAAGAAAATGATAATTTCAAAACAACAGGTGACACATAAAATGAAGAAATATCACAAGGTACACACAATTCATTACCAAAGGAATTGATCTTTTAAAAGTTATTATAAGACAACAGAGGATAGAGACTACTCAAGGCAGGCCAGTCATAGAAGATTTACATGAAGAAGATAAATTTTGATTGAGGCTTGAAAAATTAGTAAAAATTATAGATCTCTTCTTCAGTTAAAAATTTCTGGAAAACATTTTATTGCTTATAATTATATTTTAGCTTATATTTAGTCTTGTCCTAAAAATATTGGGATAATTACATGGGTAGAAAGGAGCATATATCAAAAGAGTGGTGAAAATACACCCTAGACAAATATTCTTAATAAACTCTTACAAAACAAGTCAAATGTAATTTTTTCCAGAGAGTGTCTAAAATTGGGAGGCATTTCCTGTGGCGCCCCAACACATACTAGATTCCTGGTTTGGGGCCGCCACCCAGTCATCCCAGAAGTTCTCTTAGGGAAAACACACAGAGACAAAGGAAAACAAGGTGACACTTCATTATTAGTGAAATCTGTTAAATTGCACTTCCTTTTGCTCAGAAGCCCCATCCTAAATCTTGGAAGTCACAATCCACTAGATCTAGAAGACAGAGGCCCTGGTCAGAGCCAGACAGAAAACATCTACTCTGCCATCTCTGGA
Organism: Homo sapiens; assembly: GCF_000001405.40. Taxonomy (NCBI): domain Eukaryota; kingdom Metazoa; phylum Chordata; class Mammalia; order Primates; family Hominidae; genus Homo; species Homo sapiens. Next base: position 115,347,718 of record NC_000006.12, on the reverse strand, counting down.
TTAACCAGCACAGGCTGCTTGCTGTGGGCTTTCTTAGACCTCAACAGTCCAGCTCCAGCTGCTCCTATGTGGGGAGTCATGAGGAGAAAGAAACGTTATGTTTTATTCTAGGTTTTTAATATTGGGATTTTATGGAAGAAAAAAGAAGTCTCTCTCTCCCTGAAAAAGTCTCCCCAGACACCAGGGCCAACAAGGCTCTAGGGTCTGAGCAGTGCCTGTTGGGATTTCTCCCAAGGGCTGTGAGTAGGTGCAGTGGAGGGGCTTTCTCCAAGGAGTATCTTTCCCTAGCAAGAAGATAGACAGTGAAGCAAGAATGAAAAGTGTCATCCTCTTATGTAGACACTAATAATAATTTTATTTACCTATTGGAAATCTGGAAATAGGTTTGGCCAAACTCATCTCCAAGAATATACCAGTTAGTAAGTTCAAATGACAACACAGGGCATAATTATGGCATATTGTGCTTGAGAATAACTGAAAAAGAGGCTCCTATTGTAGTCGAAAGGGCTAAATATAAATGGATTCAGATTATAAATACCCTGCAAATATTTAGCAGCAGTTGATTTTAGAGGTCATTTCAAAAACATATGGTGTTTTCAAATCATTTTTTTGAGAAGCTGAAATCCTAAATACAAGCTCTAACTTTTCAGCATAAAATGAAGGAAATAGTAGAAAAAAAGGTTTATGAATTCTTTACAAAAAGTCATTATTCTTCTGGTCCTAATCTTGCCTTTTTCTCCCCTATGGACACTATGTTTTTATGAAATTATCAGATTTACTGCCAAGCTTATGGAAACTCTGAACATAACAAAAAAAAACTGCCAAAATTTTGAAGGGAAAAAAATTCCTCATGTACCTAGGAGAAATTAATCGCACTGTCTAAACTGTTGATAACAGTGAGGAGAAAAAGATGCTACGTTCATCATTTATTTGAAGCTGCCAATATGGCATTGGAGCCATTGGTAAAAAAAACAACTGCATTTGCAATTTAAATAGCACAAAATATTTCATTTTGTCTGTTCTTCTCCTTTTATTTCTCAGGAAAATTCATTCCTCTTTTCAGCTTGGCTGGGCTGATTGCTTGCCTTCGTAACGTACTGTTTGGAATGATTTAAATGCACTTTCTTAAAACTGAAAAAAAAAGATAGATGGCATTTTTAAAAAATTCCCACATACATTGGTATGTTTTGACATACAAGTCTTTACTTAATTTATTGTAAAATTTTATTTCGAATTGTAAGTGTTAGAATTTGGACATGCAAAGAAAGAAGGAAAGGGGAGGATTTGACTTACAATATGAAATAGGATGTCTTTCCTAAAGAAGGCTTCATGGCTTTCATTTTAATTAACCTGCCTTCATTTTTATTGTTGTATTATTCAGTTTCACTTTATGATGTCACTGAGACAGTAAACTTTTCACACATCTGCAGGGACTGATAACAATGAATTTAATTTAAATTAAAACTATCAGTGCGATTTAAAGATACAGGGGCTACTAAGAATATTTGCCATGATAGCATATATCAATGCATACTTTTCTTTTAAGAAGGCTACAGAAATACTTGTGGTCATACTGAGAATTTTAACCCTATTTTGTTCTACACCAAACTGTTCATTTATATAAGGATTTTGAGATATCTAAGAAACTAAGAAATTCTTCTTGGTTCTCAACTATTTTTTTCCAGCCTCTGTATGACTAGACTAATCCCAAGTTGTTTAATATATACTGATTATTTGGAATTGTTAAAATTTAATTTTGCTTTCCAATGAGAAGTAGGAATTTTAATTATGTGATAAATAGCATTATTTAAATGGTTTTAGGCAGTAAATATATAATCAAGAAGGTACTTAGTGAAACAACAGAAGTATATATTCCAGCAAAATTTGGAGAGGAGAAACAAAAAACAACAATGAGGCTAAAAAATAGCTCATAAAAATTATATGATTATGGTTTTATTATTTTCAACATTATATCATATATATCTTTACTTATAGGCCACCTATAAGTTCTCTAAGATTCCACTTCTGATTATATAATCATATATCACATTAGTATTAGTTTTTTCTGAATACTTTCACCCTTATGATTTCAAGCATATCATTGATTTAAATACTTTTTCGGATTTTCTTCAAATCACCTCTATTCCCGTGTAGGCAAAGAATGTGCTTTTCATTGTTATAGTCTCCACTGGAGTTAACAAATTGAAAAAAAGTGAATTTTAGATTATATAATTTATAGCTTATAATTAATAGATGTATTGTTAAATATACTTTAAAGGAAAAGATTACCAAAAACAGCAATATGTGGAGTCAAGTAATCCACAAAACACACCCAATAAATGAATTAATAATAAAGTTTATTTAACTACAACATATACACAAATAAAAACATTAGCAATGAAAACACACAAAATTATAAATTATGTTGTGCAGTGCATAAAATTAAGAATTTTTAATATTCACTTATTCATTTATTAAATATTTACTGAGTAGCCATTATGTGCTAGGTATTATTTTTGGTTTAGAGGAGTTTTTTTGTTTGTTTGTTTGTTCGGGGACATGCATGATGCAAAATGCTAGAGAGAAAAATAAAGCAATGTAAGGACAGAAGTTTAGTGTTGCAAATTTAAAGTAAGATTTTGGGAAAGGGCCAACAGGTGAGTAAAAATTTGAATAAGGTGAAAGAAAGCCAAAGGAGTATCTGGGATATCAAATAAAAGTGTTCATTATGCAGTATGAATATGATGCAACAGATATGAGAGTTGGAAGAGTACCCTGTTAACAGAGATATTTCAAAGGATGCTACAACTAATAAGTGATAAGATAAATGAAGAGGAAAGGACGTAACTTTCCAGATGGGAAGAACAAACCTAGAGTAATCTAGAGGGAGATGTAAGCTTCATTGGGTGGAGTGATGCTTAGTCTCCACAGAGATTAACTCAGTGATCAGGGAATTGGTAAAGTTATACAAGGAAAACTGATTGACAAGAAGCCTAGATACAGACCCAGAACTCACTCGTAGGATGAGTAAAGGAGGAAGGGTGGAGCCTCAGGCTCACTTGGTGAGAAGGCAGGAACAGCTAAGTGACAAGAACTCAAGGAGAGTGGAACAGGTGGGAATCATGTGGCTTTTATAATAAAGTTTACTTGTCCATCTTCAGTGCTGAATATTTTTTGGATCTCTACTCCCTCAAATGCTATGCTATTTTTTTGAAATATAAAAATTTAAAAGTGCATAGCTCAGTAAATGTTTATATATGTAGACCTCTATGCCATCACTAATAATATCAAGCTATAGAATATTTCCAGCATCCCCAAAGGCTCTATCATGCTTGTCCTAATTTACACTCATCCACATTATATCCCACACTAAGCTACTTTGCCTGTTCTGGAAGTTCATGTTAATGCAACCATGCAAAATATACTCTTCAGTGTCTGTTTGTTTTGTGCAGCATAATGTATGTAGGATTTGTCCTGTTGTCCTGTATTTTTATTTTATTTTGTCCTTTTAGTGCTATACACTGTTCCATTGCATAAATATAACATAGTTTATCCCATTTATCATTGAAAGGCATTTGGATTGTTTCCAGGTTTGGTTTATTATAGATATGCTATGATGAACATCCTCATACAAGTCTTGACAAACGTAAACTGTCATTTCTGTTGAACACATGCCAAGGAAGGGAAATGCTGGGTCAAAAATTTGACATATATTTGGTTTTAGTAGATATTGCTAATTTTCCAAGATGGTTGTATAAATGTAACCTCCCACCAAAACCTCCCTCCAGCCATTACAGTTTCTCTATAATCTACATCTATTTAAGTTTAGCTATTCTGTTGAGTCTGTAGTGGTATCTCATTGTGGTTTTAGTTTGCATTCCTCTGATGAGAAATAATGCTGTGCACCTTTCCATATGTTTAACGCTTATTTGGATATCTTCTTTTGTGAAGTGCTTGGGTCTTTGGCTATTCCTTTACTGGGTTGTATGGGTTTTTCTTTTTAACTTATAAGGATTACTTTTATATTCTGAGTATGGGTACTTTGACAGAACGAGTTGAAATTCTTAATTTAAATGATGTTTAATTTTCAATCTTTTATTCTATGGTTAACATTTTTTTGCTTCCTGTTTAAGAAATCTTTATCTATTTCAAGGCCACAAAGACATTCTCTCATGTTTCCTTCTAGAAGTTTTGTGGTTTCAGCTCTTATATTTTGTTGTTATAATCCATCTTGAATTTCACGTTTGTGTGTCAGGCGAGATAAGATTCAAGATACACTTTTCAATGTGGATATCAAATTGATCTCAAATCAAACACTTTTGTAAAAACCAAATTGGTGTGATGGCATTGTCATAAACCAGGTGACTCTATTTGTCGAAGTTTGTTTCTGGTATCTCTATTTTGTTTCTCTTAATCTAATTCTTCTTGCCAATACTGTAGCTTTATATCAAGGCTTTGTAGCCAATATTTTAAATCCTCCAGCTATGTTTTTTTCTATTGCCTCAGCTATTCTAGTTCCTTGGAGTTTTCACATAAATTTTAGAATCAGGTCTTCAATTTCTAAAAAAATAAAAACACAAAAACAACAAACAAAAAAACTATCAAGATTTTCATAGACAACATGTCGAATCATTAGAACACTTTGGATAGGATTAATGACTTAATGGTATTTAGTGTTCCAATCCTTTAGCATGCCATATCTCTCCATTTTATTTAATTTATCTCTTAAATATTTTGCAGTTTTCAGTGCAGAGTTCTGGTACATTTTTCATTAGATTTACTCTCAAGAATGCAGTGATTTTTGGGAATTTGTAAAATGGATCTATTTTCCTCCATTTTTATTAGGAGACATTTTTGCTAAATTATGTAATTGAGAGTGTTAATAAATTTACATGTAAGTTATTATTATAATTTATTTTGGATTTTCGACATATGTCAAGAGCATATAGTAAAAATTTACTTATTTTTTTCAAACTTTATACCTTTTATTACTTTTTTGTAACTACTTTACTGCTTAGGGCCTCTAATAGAATGTCAAATATAGTGCTGATAGTGAATATTCTTGCTTTTTTCTCCATCTCTGTGTGTGTTAAATATTTCACAATTAGCTATCTATCTTTTAGGATTTTTTGTAGATATCTTATGCCAGGTAAAGAAACTCTTTTCTATTTCTTATTTGACCATAGTTTTCATCATGAATGGGTGTTAAATCTAATCAAATTATTATTCTTTATTGAAAAAATAATGATTTCCTTTTCATTAGTGTATTGAATTGCATTGATAAATTTTGGATATTATATTAAATTTAAATTTTTGGAATTAATCTCATTTGGTTATGATATATCATACTTTTCATATATCATTGATTTCTATTGGTTAGCATCTTGTTTAAAATTTTTGTGTCTGAGTTAATAAACATTGTTCTGTAATTCTTCTTTTGTCAAGTTTTTGTATTAAGGTTATGTGGTCTCATGAAATAAACTAGGAAACATTCATTCTTTTACTTGTCTCTAAAAAAGTGTGCATAGTATTGGTCTTATTTCTTTCTTCCAAGTACGGAAGAATTCACAAGCAAAACCACCCGAACCTGAAATTTTCTTTAAGAAAAAATTATTTTGTATCAATTAAATTTCTCTAATATATATAGGAAGTCATTTTTTTTCTTGTGTTAGTTATGTTAACTTGTGTTTTTCATATATCTATCTCATCCAAGGCAGGATGTCCAATCTTTCAGCTTCTCTGGATCACATTTGGAAGAAGAATTCTCTTGGCCACACATAAAATACACTAACATTAATGATAGCTGATGAGCTTTAAAAAAAATTCATAATGTTTTAAGGAAGTTTATAAATTTGTATTGGACTGCATTCAAAGCCATCCTGGGCCACATGCAGGCCATGGACTGCAGGTTGAACAAGTTTGATCTAAGCCTTTAAGTGTATTGGCATAAAATTGTTAAAGTTTTTATTAATGTCTGAAAGTTCAGAAGTAATAACCCCTCTTTGTTTTTAATTTTGATAATTATTTGTGTTTTCTTTTTTCCTATGCCTTACTAAGGTATAATATAGTTTATTAATTTTGTAAAGAACTAGCCTCTGCTTTATGGATTTTTTCTCTCTTGTAGAGAAGTTTTCTATTTTTTAATTTTGATTAATTTATATATCTACTTTGAGTTTAATTTGATTTTCTCTTTTCCATATTCTTGATATTGGAGCTCAAATGACGCATTTTCAACTTTTCTCGTTTTCCAATACCTGCATTAAGAATATAAATTGTCTCCTAAATTCTGCATTAGCTGCATTATACAACTTCATCGCTTTGTCATTTTGATTACTACTGTAAAATTTCTGTTTGTCTTTAGTCTATTTTTGTCCTTGCTACAAACTACTTTGTAATTTCCCTTCTAATACGTGACTTCTGCTTGTTCACAATTTCCGTACACTGTCTTCTTTATTAGCACCTCTCAGCTTTTGGAGCTAACCACCAATAAGTTGCTTTATATTTCTGTCTTGCATTCAAAATCCCTGTGAGCAATTATCACAGCAACTTCTTTTCAGGTTCTGAAATATTGGACATATTATAGCCAATCTAATTTTATATCAGGTGCACATTTCTGAGCTCAATAGTTAGGGTGAAGGAGTCAAATAATGATTCCCATGTGTATTATTTTGCTAGGTCTGTCTTAATAAAGTATCACAAACTGGGTGACTTATACAACAGAAATTTATTTTCTCACGGTTCTGGAGGCTAGAAGTCCAAGATCAAGGTGTCAGTAGAGTTAGTTCTTAAGAAGGCTTCGAGGAAGAAACTCTTTTATGACTTTCCTCTAGCTTCTAGTAGTTTTCTGACAGTCATTGGCATTCTTTGGTTTGTAAGAACATCACCCCAATCTCCACCTTTATTTTCATATGGAGTTCTCCCTGTTTGTCTGCCTGCATCCAAGTTTCCTCTTTGCATAAGGACACCAGTCATATTGGATTACTGGTCTACACACTCTAGTATGATCACTTTACTAATTTAATCTGTAGCAACCATTTTCCAAATGAAGTCACATTCTAAGGTACTGGAAAGTTGGATTTCAAAATATGAATTTGGCAAGTTTTGGGGCTCACAATTCCACTCATAACACCCCCCAGAGATGCACTTCTAAGAAAAAAAAAGGATTATTTAGCACTTATTTTGTAAGAATCTTATAAGGACTAACTCAATCATCAAAACAAATACATGAGGTAATGTGGTTATTTTTTCCATTGTTTATCAATGTCACTTCTCTTCCATGCTCTATGATCATGGTGCTGGGACTCTAAAAACTACATTTTTTCAGGCTCATTTATCTTTGGCTTCTTGGTAGGTTCTGCCAACAAATCATTAAAGGGAACTCGGTTGATAAGATGCATTATACCTTTAGTCTATTCATATTAATAAAAGGAACTAAACTAGAGGGTGCATACTGAATCATGTAAAATAAAATTGAATCTTAAAAAGGGAGGAAGGTCAGATGATGACCCAAGGTGGTGAATAAGAGATGTGTGGTCATAATCTGAGAGAGAGGTGAGCAGCCCAAAAAGACTCTGTCGATATGACAAATAAGTATGACTCATGGTTCATTGAGTTGAACCATGCTCATCTACATGATGGAAATAGGAACCCCCTTCAGAGAGTGGGGGCTACCATAATACACTGAGTGATTTTTTTTCCTCACTTTGCTGAGTAATCAGCTCCTAAATCAATACCTCACATTGGTGTGAATGATAGGACAAGGGACAAGCCTGAGTTGTAGTATTGTGAACTAGCTGGTAGGAGGAGGGAAAAATCAAGTATTTGGCTTCCATAGCATGAGTCATTAGAGTGAGAAATTCCTTAAACATCAGAGGAGGATTTAGATACTGACAAAATTTAATAAAGTCCATTAAAATCGTCAAAGTTCAAACCAAGTATTATTAGCTCCTAGTCAGGTAGTCAGGGACAATATATACTTCCAATATGTTGACTGCCTTTTTGTTGTTTGGACATGCAGAAATTTTAAATTTGTAAGAAATTTAAGCTATTATTTTGCCTTCAGAAATTTATTAGAAATTTTTTCTCATCTAACAATGTTTGTGTATATTTCCATATACCTTCATAAGCTGAGGTATAACATTTGTCTCTTTTAGTTAGACGGTGTGAGTTTCCTTCTTTAATATGAGGTGAGAATCCTATAGTTTTCTTACTTTGTTAATAATCAATTTCCTCATTACCACTTCAGTAATCCTACCTATGTGTTGATAATTTCTGGATCATATTAAATTTGTATATATAGTAGAGTAGACTTCTGTCCTGTAACTTCTCTTAAATTAATCTGCATTTCTGGTTTTTGCTGGTATTCCTGACTTCCTTTAATAGATAATGCAGACAAAAAGATACACTTATATGAAAACAATAAATTTCTAAAATTTATTTCAAGACTCATAATGTACCCTGTGATCATGGGATCAGTGTAACAAAGTGTATCAAAAATTAACTCAGAAATTACTAAACTTTTTTTGTTAATGCCCTAAACAGTTGAGAGCATTAGATATTATAAATGAGTGTGTATAGTTAGTAATCATTTTTAGGGATAAGAAAATGCCCTGGATTTTGTTACTTGAATGACTGAAAGGCCGGGCCAGTGGTAGGGAAAAACTAGAGGAAGCAATTCTGCTCTACCCTGTATCATTGGGGGATTTAAAGGATTCTGGCAGAAACCTTCATAGAGTGGGACCTTGAACTCAGAGTTCCATTAAGACCATGATTTTTCCTCAACCCTCAAAAGCAAAATATAGAACATGGAAATCCACAAAATGCAATCAGGGAAGGATATTGCTCTATAATTTAGCCCCTGCTGAGGTAAAGACTTTTACAACACTTGAAGTGGGGTTGTGGGGAGAATGAAAAATCAAATACTGTGACCTAGATATTTACCTTGATACAGTTTCCCTACACCCCAGAGAGGTGAGAAGTGCCTAAATAAAGCCATGGAGCTGCCATATTTGGTTGACACACCCGAAAGATCTTGATATTTTGACTTTATTTTACTCTTTAAATCCAAAGCCTCACAATACTTCCCAGACAAAAACATTAAGGCCCTGACAGCATTTTTCTGGAAAACTCTGACTGTGGGAGGAGGCAGCCCCACTAGGGTATCAGTCGTTGGCCAGCTGGGATATAATCTACTATCCATTTACCTTTCAGAGAAAAAAGTAATTTAGGAAAAATCAAGTGTCACTAACTTACGGAAGGAGTACTTCTCTGTTCTCCAGGATCCTGCTCTAGAGATAGCTTAAATGGACCCACATTCAGTAGCAGGAGTTAAAAGAAAAAAAGAGCTATTGAGGGGTAGACTTTTTACACTCATTGATATGTCCATATTATGGAAAACTTAGGTAACGGCTATTATCTACATGTGTTTGTGTCAAAATCCCAGTACCCAAAGAGTTTAAAGCAATTACCACTCAAATAAAGGCAGTGACTATAAAATTGTAAACTGATTAAATTATGATGGTGTGCAAAATAGCAGTCAGAAATATGACTTTTGATTCCCTTCATATCTAATATTCTATCTATAAAACCAAACTGTCTCTTTGCTCATTATAAAATAATAGAGTTTCTGAGTTTTAAATCTCTTGACCTGGTCAAGCTCATTTCCTACTTTCTAAATTTTGTGCTCAAGAGTTGCTAACCTCCACAAATCTTCTAATGATAGTAATTAGACAAGTAAAATTTTTGACAAAATTATATGCTTTATCAAATCAGAGAAATTTAGTCACTATAATATTGCCATCTTAGTAAGAGCAAATGGAACAACATACGATTTCTCTATAAGCTTTTGATTAGAAAATATTTCTGTACTCCTCTTACAGTGTTTTAAAGATAATCAAATTAAAGTGGAATATTGGTTGAATAAAAACATGAGTGTATGAAAATTAGCTTAGGGTAAGTTTGCAATTTTAGTTATAGAAGAGACACATCTACAATCTCCAACCAAACACAATGTTTTAAAAGGTTTATTATATAATTATTCTTCAGTTTATCCAAATACTGAAAATACTATTTAATGAAATGTGCATATCTGTCTGTTCTGTGTGTATGCTCATGCATATATATATATATATATATGTATATATATATGTATATATATATACATATATGTATATATATATATGTGTATATATATATGTATATATATATATATGTATATATATATAAGTTTCTCAATTATCAGGTCTTTTAACACTATCTATTCTAAACATCTGCATTAGTCCATTTTCATATTGCTGTAAAGAACTGCCCGAGACTGCATAATTAATTAATAAATGAAAGAGGTTTAATTGACTCACAGTTCAGCATGGCTGGGAGGCCTCAGGAAACTTACAGTTATGGAAGAAGGTGAAGGGGAAGCAAGGCACCTTCTTCACAAGGTGGCAGGAAGGAGAATTGCCAAGCAAAAGATGAAGAGCCACTTATAAGACCATCAAATCTCATGAAAAGCACTCATTATCACCAGAATAGTATGTGGGAAACTGCCCCCATGATGCAATTACCTCCATTTGGTCTCCTCCTTGACATGTGGGAATTATGGAGATTATGGAGATTACAATTTAAGATGAGATTTGGGTGGGGACACAAGGTCTAACCATATTATCCTGCCCTGGCCCCTCCCAATCTCATATTTCTTTCACATTTCAAAACTAATCATTTCTTTCAGACAGTCCTCCAAAGTCTTAATTTATTCCAGCATTAACCCAAAAGTCCAAATCCAAAGTCTCATCTGAAACAAGGCAAGTCCCTTCCACCTATGAGCCTGTAAAATCAAAAGCAAGTTAGTTACTTCCTGGATACAGTGAAGGTACAGGCATTGGGTAAATATACCCATTTCAAATAGGAGAAATTGGCCGTAACGAAGGACCTACAGGCCCCATGCAATTCTGAAATCCAGAAGGGCAGTCAAATCTTAAAGCTTCAAAATGATCTCCTTCAACTCCATGTCTCATATCCAGGTTGTGCTGATAAAACAGTTGGGCTCCCATGGCTTCGGAAAGCTCCATCTCCGTTGCACTGCACGGTACAGCCCCATTCCCAGCTGCCTTCGTGGGCTGGCATTGAGAGTCTGTGGCTTTTCCAGCCACATGCTGTCAGTGCAAGCTGTCGGTGGATCTATCATTCTGAGGTCTGGAGGATGGTGGCCTTCTTCTCACAGCTTCTCTAGGCAGTGTCCCAGTGGAAACTCTGCATGGGAGCTCCAGCCCCACATTTCCCTTCCACAATGCCCTAGTAGAGGTTCTACATGAGGGCTCCACCCCTGCAACAAGCTTCTGCCTGAACATTCAGGTATTTTCATACATTTTCTGAAATCTATGCAGAGGTTCCCAAAACTGAATTCTTGTCTTCTGTGCACCTGGAGGCCCAACAGTCTGTGTAAGCCACTAAGCCTTGGGGCTTGCACCCACTGAAGCAATGACCTGAGCTGTATGTTGGCTACTTTTAGCCATGGCTGGGAAGCAGGGCATCAAGACCTGAGACTGCGCAAAGCAGCAAGGGCTTGGGCCCAGCCACAAAACCTTCTAGGCCTCTGGGCCTGTGATGGGAGGCCTGTGATTCAAGACCTCTGACATGCCCTGGAGACATTTTCCCCATTGTCTCAGCAATTAACATTTGGTTCCCTGTTACTTATGCTAATTCCTGCAGCTGGCTGCAGCTGGCTCGAATTTCTTCTCAGACAGTGGATTTTTCTTTTCTATTGCATTGTCTGGCTGAAATTTTCTAAACTTTTATGCTCTGCTTTCCTTTTAAACAGAAGTTCCAATTCCAAATCATCTATTTGAGAATGTATAAAATTGAATGCTTTTAAGAGCACCTAAGTCACCTCTTGAATACTTTGTTGCTTAGAAATTTCTTCTGCCAAATGTCAGTCTCTTTGCTAAAACAGCAAAATTCGTCTTTGTTCCAGTTCCCAACAAGTTCCTCATCTCCATCTAAGACCACCTCAGCCTGAACTTCATTTTCCATATCACTATCAGCATTTTGCTCAAGGCCATTTCAACAAGTCTCTAAGAAGTTCCAAACTTTCCCACATCTGTCGTCTTCTAATCCCTCCAAACTGTTCCAACTTCTGCCTGTTACCCAGTTCCAAAGTTGCTTTCACATTTTCAGGTATCTTTATAGCAGCACCCCACTCTCTGCAGTGGCAATTTACTGTGTCAGTCTGTTTTGATACTGCTATAAAGAACTGCCTGAGACTGGGTAATTTATAAAGGAAAGAAGTTTAATTGACTCACAGTTCAGCATGGCTTGGGAGGCCTCAGGAATCTTACAATCATGGTGGAAAGGGAAGCAAGGCACCTTCTTCACAAGACAGCAGGAAGGAGAACTGCTGAGCAAAGGGGGAATATCCACTTGTAAAACCTTCAGATCTCATGAGAACTCATTCACTATCATGAGAACAACATGGGGGAAACTGCCCCCACGATTGAATTACCTCCACCTGGTCTCTCCTTTGACATGTGAGGATTATGGGGATTACAATTCAAGACGAGATTTGGATGGGGACACAAAGCCTAACCATATCAATATCTAAACACAGTAAATATCTATGACATATGTCAAGAATATGGAGGATATTTTGAGGTTTTTATACGTAATCTTTTTTTTTTCTGTAACATTATTTTCTCTTTCCCCAAGGCTCTTATCATATGTTGTCCTTTCTTCATTCTATCCTTGGATGTATTACTCTTTGTTGGAACTTTGAAGTAGTTTAATTATTAGGACATTAATTTATGATTTATCTCTGTCTTTTTTTTCTCATTACCTCTCCCACTTTAAGATGGTGGCCAAGACTTTTGGGAAATTTTTCTTCCATGTAAGGCCAAAATGAAAATTTGTATCTACTTTTCCTTTCATTGAGAGAAGGGTACATTTTAAGGGAATGAGAAAGGAGTGATTCTGAGAAACTGGAAAGTGGTTGACTATATTGTTAAAAGGTCTTAAGCTTGTCAGGGACTATATTATGCCCCATGAAAGAGTTTGTGAAATTGGCAAAGGAAAAGGAAGAGAACTTATCATTTGTTGCAGGATGTAGACAAACACTACAGGGCAAGAGAACACTTTAAGCTTGTACCATGAAGATGTCAGGGTCATCTATGAAGTAGTGGTTATTAGAGGCCTATTTATCACTTTTCCAATGAAAATTGAGAATATTTTCTACATTTCCATAGTCTCTTGATTTCTAGGCTGTGAACAAGATAAATGAATGGGATCCTCCAATGATTGCAAAATGGATTATAACTGATTTATAGAAAAGTGTTAAAAGTGGGGTGTTTCTTGTGGACTTCAGTTTGGGGTTCAGTTAATACACAGTTCAAATTTATCTTCTGCCATTAATCATCAGTGAAGTTTAGTGAATATTTTTCATTAAAAGAAATTTTGCTTTTGTAGAAAGCTGATGAGGGGACTCTCCTTTTAAAACTTCGATTAAAAAGCATCAATGCTGGGTGCAGTGGTTCATGCCTGTAATCCTAACACTTTGGGAGGCTAAGGCAGGAGAATTGCTTGAGGCCAGGAGTTCAGGACCAGCCTGGGCAACATAGCAAAACCCTATCTATACAAATAACTTAAAAACATTAGTCAGGTGTGGTAGTGCACACCCGCAGTCCCAGCTTCACAGAGGCTGAGGCATGAGGATCACTTGAATCCAGGAGTTCAAGGTTGCAGCGAGTCACGATTGTGCCACTACACTATAGCCTGGGTTACAGAGCAAGACCCCACCTCTAAAACCAAAACCAAAACCAAAACAAAACTGTCAAGTATTCAGATGTTCTCTTGAATTTCTAATGTGTTGTTAGGTATCATTTCAAATAGAAGCATACAGTTTACTCAATATAAATTCTTAAAAATTTCAAATGTTATATATATATTTGACAAGATCGAAAACAGGAAATATTTATTTCATCAGTATAAGGTGGTATGAAGCTTCTTATAATTTACATGAAATAAGCTTATCATTAGAAAAGATCTACATAGTTACATATAGTATTTGTCACCTAGGGCTGCTGTAAGAAAGCAGTAAAAAAAAAATGGATGGCTTATAACAACAGAAATGTACTGTCCACAATTCTGCAAGCTAGAAGTCTGAAATCAAGATGTTATCAGGGGCTGGGCGCGGTGGCTCACGCCTGTAATCCCAGCACTTTGGGAGGCCGAGGCGGGCGGATCACGAGGTCAGGAGATCGAGACCATCCCAGCTAAAACGGTGAAACCCCGTCTCTACTAAAAATACAAAAAATTAGCCGGGCGTAGTGGCGGGCGCCTGTAGTCCCAGCTACTTGGGAGGCTGAGGCAGGAGAATGGCATGAACCCGGGAGGCAGAGCCTGCAGTGAGCCGAGATCCCGCCACTGCACTCCAGCCTGGGCGACAGAGCGAGACTCCATCTCAAAAAAAAAAAAAAAAAAAAAAAAGATGTTATCAGGGCCACGTTCTCTCTAAAGGCACTAGGTAAGGATATTTTTATGTCTCTTTGTACCTTCTGGTAGTGTGCAAAGAAAAACTGCACTGGAACCAGTTAAACGGGCAAAGAATATCTTATTCAAGACTATTGAATAGGAGTCAAGAATTGCAATAGGAAAGAAAGATTGAACTAAATTATGCTAAAATAAAAAGCCTAAGGGTTTTAAGCCCTGGGGTGAGCTAGTAGTACAGTTCTAAAGTACATTAGGTGAGAAGATAGTCAATGTGGTTAGGCCCCACCTGTGTTGCTAATTGGTGCTTATCAAAGTTAGGCTCCTACCCTCCCAGGAAGACTGGTATACAGAGCCATTATCAAATTTCATTTCAAAGGGATAGTTTCCAGGTCCTTGAGAAAGATATCCCTGAGTTGTAAAACTGGCAATAAGCTGGAAGGAGATTTATATCTCAAATGGTCAAATAAATAACTTTCATTTGCAAGTTTTCTAAAGTAAATGCTCTAAGAAAAAGGATGTCACAGCCCTATAGTTAGAAAGAAATTTAACATTTAGTCAAGCTGAGGGGAATATTAAAGCCTTCTTGGTCAGTGGTTGTTGGCAATCCTTGGTGTTTACTTTTAGACAAATCACTGTAATTTCTACCTCTGTTCTCACATGGCCTCCTCCTCTGTGTATCCGTGTGTCTCTGGGTTCTTTTTTTAGAAATACCTTAGTTATTGGATTGTGACCCACTCACTCCAATCCACTACCACCTCACATTAACTAATTATGCTTATAGCACCTTGCTGTAACTGAGTACCTCCATTTTTCTAAGAGATGGTTTAATTACTTTTTCTCTCTTTTCTTTCCTCCTTTTCCCTACTTCCTACTTAGCTCTTTAGAAATGCTATTATATCACTTCTCAGCCTTTTGGCTAAAAAAAAGAGTAAAAATGCAATTATAACCTTTTACCTGCCATTCAGCAGACACTACCTACAGGGCAAGTTTATCTAACTATGTGTTTAGAAGCTTCAGGGCAAAACTCTCTCCCACCAGGAGGTTGCCTCAACCCAAAGTATGCCCACTACAAAACTCTCTCCCACCTGGAGAGTTTTCAGCCACTTTTACAACCTAGTCCTGCCTATAAAAGCTCCAGTAGTCACCAGCACGACCACCCAGTAGTTAAGGCACCGAAACAAGTTATGCATACCCTCATTGGCTCAATTCCTCCCCTGTGTGCCATTTATGCCAGGTCCCCTTTTAATAGTGCCTGCTTTCTGCTCTAAAAGCAAGATGGTACCCTTAAGGCAGGAACTCAGTAATTCCCCTAAACAGCTTTTAAGTGAAAAGTCATTTTCCTTATATCAGACTTCACTCTTGTTAACTGGACTGTGAAAGCAGTGTGTAACTGAACCTGTGTTTCAATTACACTGCTTCCAAATAAGGTATGATGTATTATGGAATATATGAATTTGGGGGGGCGGGGCACACTACACAATTCAATACATATGCAACTCCATAACTGAACTTTAAGACTTATGAGATGAGTAGAAGAAATTTTGCCTTATGCAAAATTGTCATTTTGTTCCTTAATATTAAGGCTAATTAGCAAACTGTTTCCTCAATCATTCCCACCCACTCATACTCACCCGCACACATACACACATAAAATTGTATTTAAGTTTCTATATCCAAGAGGAAATATTCTCCCTGTAACTTACTGTGGATAGTAAAATTTTTTTATTTCCTTACGTTATTATACATATGACTAAGAGTAAAATACTATCCATCCTCTAATAGGGAAATGTGATTTCATATAAGAAAATGTGAAAGAGATTTTATAACCAAGAGAATAAATGAACAAGAGTTTTCTTCTCTTTCCAATTATTTATTCTGATTCTTTTTGTAATTTTGTAATATATTTTAGTCTGTTCTTATTTTTTGAAATGACTTTGTTTGACATGTTGCTTTGTTTTTCCTTATAATTAAAGGCTCTACTGAAGAAAACTATTAGACTTTACATGTAAGAATGTTATTTGTAAGAAGAAACATTTTAAAATAAAGTTAACTTTCATCAAGTGGAAAATTGAATAATACCATGTGCTATGCTCACATAGCTATTGAAAGATGAGGTAACACTATAAATCATAATTGATATGAACCAAAAAAATCTATTTTACTTGATATACAAAATGAATCAATATGAAATGTATTTAATTTTTATTTATGATGTATATTTAGTAGGAATCCATTTTCAACAGAAAATACAATAGTTACCATAACTATTTTTATAGTGCTTCCCTAGCCTGTAAAAACCTTTATTTTTAATTCCAAATATCTAAATACTAGTTCTGTTACAAAGCTTGTTTAACCTTTTTTTTAATAAAAAGAAAATTTTCCTGAGATCTTTAGTAAGAATAACCTCTTCTTTTTCTTAAATTTCATTAATGTTATCCATTTTATAGACTTTATTGCTTTAAAAGACTAGGTGTATGCTTTGGAATTTTATCTGCCACATGGAATTGCAAACTGGAGTTTATCTCTAGACCTTTGTAGGATTAATACACTTTTCCCCTTCATATACAAAGCAAAAACTATAGAATATGATTGAAATATTAATAAGTCTGTAAAAAGCAGGTTGTCTATCTTCTTCAAGGTTAGTTGAAGAAAGCATATAGTATGTAAAATTAAATATGTTCAACTTATGTGAAAATATCTTTGTGGAAAATGGTCAGTGAGCAGGATTATTTATTTATCCATGTAAAATTTATTGAAGGCTTATTATGTAACAGCCACTAGGCTTGTCACTAGGGATTTCATGGTCCCTCCATGAACCTTAAATTTACAGTGAGAAGACTGACAATTTGAAAACAAACAAATAAAATTATGTTATATAAAATCATGTTATATAAAATAAGTGCTATAGAGGAAGTTTATACTACTCTCTAAATATATATAACAAAAAGAAGAGAGAGGGCAGGTAACACTGATGACATCTATACAATGTAAGGAACAGGCATTCATGGAGCCTGACAAAGAAAGCTTTATGCAGACTTTTTAGAAAATGAAATGAATTGTCCTAGGATTCTGTAGTGAGCCAGTGTGGCTAGATCTTAGTGAACATCACTAACTTTGGTGAAAGATGAAGTTGAATCAGATAATGGAGGCCATTTGTCCTGGGAAAAAGTTTGAATTTCCAGTGGTGGGAAACTATTGATGGCATTTTAAGCAGCTGGGTGCCATGGGATCACATTCTTAGATTCCTCTAGCTGCTTGAAAAGACCATGTAGGTTGTTACTGCCGAAATCTGGGTGCAATCTTATGGTAACTTGGAGTAGGCAAGTGGCTAAGAAGATGAATAAAAGTGAATATTGAGGGCTGGGCGCGGTGGCTCACGCCTGTAATCCCAGCAGTTTGGGAGGCCGAGGCGGGCGGATCATGAGGTCAGGAGATTGAGACCACGGTGAAACCCCGTCTCTATTAAAAGTACAAAAAATTAGCCGGGCGTGGTGGTGGGCGCCTGTAGTCCCAGCTACTCGGGAGTCTGAGGCAGGAGAATGGCGTGAACCCGGGAGGCGGAGCTTGCAGTGAGTTGAGATCGTGCCATTGCACTCCAGCCTGGGTGACAGAGCGAGACTCCATCTCAAAAAAAAAAAAAAAAAAAAAAAAAAAAAAAAAGTGAATATTGAGGTAGATTTTGGCTGTAGAACCGTAAGAAATTGCTACACATTTGGAAGTTGGTAAGGAAGTAAGTGGAGAAAATAATGATGATCCTAACTAGCTTTGATCTTTGTCAATGGATCTATGTTGGTGTTTTTTTACTGAGATGGCTAATTATGAGGGTGGGAGAAACTTAGTAAGTGAATCAGTTAATGGTGTAGTTTTAGACAGCTTAAGTTTAACATCTTATGATTTTTCTCCGAGTAGGAATATAAAAGAGTTAAATATGTATATCTGCAATTCAGAAAAGAGGTTTGGACTGAGATCACTTTGAATATCATGAATCTATACATACTGTTTCAAGTAATGGGACTGTTTGATACTAATTTAAATAATTGATATTTATTGAGTACTTACTCTGGGCTACACACACTGTAGAGTCAATATGATAAAATTATGAGAATTCTGCAAGACAATATATTTATTAGGATTCACCTGAAATTCTCTTTGATTGAACTGACTTTAGGTCAATTATATACACCTCTGAATAAATCTCTGTTTCCCAAGGTTCAGGAAGTCTCCAAGGCAGCAAGAAAAATATGTAGCACCAAGGGATTCTAAGATCCTATGAAGCTGCAACTGAAACCAGAGGTTGGCAGAGGTGATGAGACAGAGCTTTCAGAAGCAGTTTGTTGTAAACAATAGAAGAACATTAGGGAAAAATTATAAGAACAGGAAATGAAACCAGGAATTAGGCCAACATCACAAATATATGTCATGAAATTTTTCATTTGCTAAAAGTGAGCTATAAATTTGATTGTAAGTTTTTTAAAAACAAATGGGAAACTGGAAACATTATCAGTTCTGCAATTACCAGAAATCGATCATAAGGTAAAATGAAGACAATTAAAATAATAACTATTCTATGTATTAACCCTGCCCCTGTGCCCAAATAAACTCAAGATCTATCTAAAAGAAGGGGCTCTGCAATGTAATAAAAGATATCCTCAACAACATTTTAAAAAATCCATTCATAGGTTACATACAGAGTTTCTTGTACTGGACAATGGCATTGCACTAAAATTCAACTCAGAATAAGAAGTCTATACCGAACCATGTTCTCACTTATAAGTGGGAGCTAAATGACGAGAACACGTGGACACACAAAGGGGAACAACCCACACTGGGGCCTATTGGAGGCTGGAGCATGGGAGGAGGGAGAGGATCAAGAAAAATAACTAACAGGTACTAGGCTTAATACCTGGGTGGTGGAATAATCTGTAAAACAAACCCCCATGACACAAGTTAACCTATGTAACAAACCTGTACATGTACCGCTGAGCTTAAAATAAAGGTTAAAAAAAGAAAAGGATGTAGAGCTCTTAGCAAACACCTTTTTTTCCTATCTGAAGTGAATAATGCATCATTGAAACTGAAGTGTGCTACTCTTATGATCTGTGACTAAAACATGTTGTAACAATTCATATTACATCAAATAAAGCAAGTATAAGTTCACCATATGCCCTAAATGCACTACATGCACTACTTCAGCTGATTCTGTCTGGGCACTGACCAATGAGAAATGATGCTGATATCAACAACCTGTTTAGCTCTACTGGGCCTGCAGCTGACTATCAGCCAGGGCTGACCCCCATTCTTTTTTAAAAAAAATACATTTTTAAACCATGTTAAACAAAAAATAAATTCAGAAAATCTGAAAAAAAAAAAAAAAAAAAAAAAAAAAAAGAAATACATGTGGATCCAGTTCATTGCAGTTCATGCATGCAGCTTGCCGATGACCAGCAGTAATCTGAGGATAGCCTTTTGAGTATCTGAAATAATGGATGGGGTGAATAGCCTTTACAAAATATTTTAAATACTTTTTTTCTTATAAAAGGTTGATAGCTTTTGCAGACAGATATACATTTTAAATATATATTACATATTATTTTATCTCCTCACAAGTGCTTAGAGTAACCATAAATACAGTGGGAGAGTAAATAGCCTTTAATTAACAATTAGCTCAGTATGATTCTAGACTATAACTTGGATGGAAAAAAATAAGTAACTAAAACTGATGCAATTGTGAGACGAGTTCACATAAGGAGAATTGCTGAAATAAGTTGTGAGAGTCCTATTCCTCTCAGCATATTTCTCAGATCATGCCTGCATCATTGATTCAAAATCTAGCTGTCTAGATTTTAGACAAATGTTGACAAAAGAGAAGCTCTGCAGGCAAGCCATAAGAATGATTACATAATGTTAGTCATGTTTTATAAAGAATGATCAAAACAACTGAGGAGGTTTAATTTTGAGGAGAAGATTTTGGATAAGAGTGACAAAATTAAAAGCCAGGTGTCAAGATATGAACAGATACCACAAAGAAGAGAGGTCTAGTGTGAGAGTCGTGATCTGACAGGCAGAACTAGGGCCAAAGTACACAAGGTACAAAGAGGTAGGTTTTTAGTAACTAGAAGGAAGAGCTATCTAATAGTAAGAAGTTCCAAATATGAAATGGGCTTCATCAGAAAATAATGGCTCTTAGAGCCATTGTCTTTGGAGAAATGTCAATAGGGAAATATATTGGTAGGAGATGACTCAATTTTGGATGTATAGCGCTAGTAAGTTGTTATAAAGTCCATTAGAATACTAAGCATCTGTCATTTTGATAAGCATTCCAAAGTCCTTACTACTTATAAATATTATTCCATTGAACAATTTCTTTTTAATCAAACACTAGATGCTGCATGCACATTTAAGCATTGAGAGTTACAGCAGTAAATAAGAAAGTGGAGGCTCCCTTGAAGGTTACTCTATTTGGGAGGAGTGGGTGGATACAGGTTAACAATAAGCAATATATAATAGGAAGAAATAGAAAGTAGGAGAAAGTGCCTTTCCCATTGACTTGTGTGAAACCCCCATGTCACTCTGTGTAATTATTTTAATGTGACAGGTGCTGACCTCTGTCTGCGAGGATGGCTGCATTCACCTTCTTGTCTCCTGGACTCTGTTTGAATGTCTACATTGTCTCTCACCACTTGCCATTGAATCCATCTCTATGGATTTGTCCTGCTGATCTCTGGCAGATCCTTGGGTCCTGAGAACCCCTGGTATTTCAGTCTAAGTGCCACTTGAGTTCCTAATCTGACAGTACAGATAAATGCAGTTACACAAGCAGGTAATGGGTTTTGAGGTGGGACCTGTAGAAGCCATGGATGCAGAGGCAATCAGTCAAAGGTGGCTCCTCTAATTAGAAATATCATAGAGTACCAAAGTTACTAAAACCTTGAATTTCAGAGCATGATCTGAAAGACACTTATATAAGAATCATAGGAAGTACTTGTTTAAAATGCAGATTCCTGCTCCCACAACTTATAGTTCAGTCTTTGTGGGTAAAGGCTGTCAATTACCATATTGAACAAACTGTTCAGGAATGTGTGTATACTCTGAAGTTTCAAAATCTCCGCATCAAGAATAAGAATAAGAATTCAACCAATGGAATATGAGTCCCTTAAAGGGCAACTTGACAGAAACATCAAAATATACAACTTCTGTTTACAAAAACCATAGAAAAAATATGGTTCTTATAGTCCCATGGCTATAGATAGTTAGGAGACTTGTTGTTCTCCCTATATTTATATTTATAATATAAATTATAATTATGAACAAGGTACAAAAGCTATGTTCTCTATCACCCTGGCCATTACCTGATGCCTCTGGAGAGGCTGCTACTGCTGGTACCAAATGACATAGAGGAATCGATTAAACTAAGGTTAAAATTAATTTTCTAGAAAACAGAAGTTTTCTATAGTGGCCTACAGATGTTTTTAAGATTCATCTTTAATTACTTTTAAATATGGCCGTATTATGTACTAATTGTTCCAAAAAGTTTGTACAATTTTCCTATCCAGATTGTAAATTCCTCAAGAAAACTTTATTAACCTATTTCTTGTATATAATAATGAGAGCACACAGTAAATGCTCAATAAACACTCAGCTGTTGTTGATGGTGAAAGTTAAACCTCTAGATTCTTGCCAAATGAGGATTTTTCTAGTGTGAATTAGGGAGAAGCAAGGCTTTAATATATATTACAGTTAAATCTATATCTAGAATTGGATATAACCATATTCATCATTTGTTATGACTAAATGGCCTACTTTGAAAGACACAGAAGGATAGAACTTTAGAGAGAGAGAAAAAGAAAGAAAAAGAGAAAAGGATTCAACTAGAGAGAGAGGCCTGTGGGCTCAACTCACCATGAAAACAAGAACAAATGGGAGCAATGCATTATAAAATCCCACTTGCTAACATCTTAAAGACATAAGTTCCTGGTTAAAATGAACATGACTTTTTAGAGAACAGAGTCAATCAGATTAATATATAAATTAATCTCCAATGACAGAGTGACATGCTTTGCAGATCAAGGCAAGTGCTAGCTACATTTTTTTTTTGTTTTAGCAAAGGTTTTTATTCTATAATCTGTGATAAAATTATAAATTAGGTGTGAGGATTTAGTTTAGGACAAAAAGCTAAAGGGTATTTAAGTGACTGAAGCTGGGTCTTCTGCTTAGAAGAGAATTTTTCCAATATTTTTCTCTATCTTTTGATCAAACTAGTCAGCCTTGGCTCATCTACATGGTATTGTAATTGAAACAACTAATTCTCCTGGATGCCTATAATTACACTGTCACGTAAATCAGTTGTGGCTGGTTGGACTCAAGGTCAGAATTATTTTCTAATGTTTCTGCTGCAGAGAATCTAGACAAGGTTTGAATGATGTTATGGGCCCTCTACAACTATTTCCGCATATGCCAAGGCTCGAGGGACAGACTTTACTAACTCTGACTAGAACTTTGGGAGTCATTTGTGAGATACACATAGAACATAAATCTTGCAAGTTCAAAGGTAAAGTCTTAGAGGATCCTGTAATAATGTTCAAAAAAGAGCACATACACTTTTGAGTTATTGTAAGTCCCTAGAATAGCATGCAGCAAATTCACAGGGGGATCAGGTTTACACTGAACTATTTCAAAGATCAATGTTTACAAAAATACAGATATGTTTTTTCAGTTTTAAAGTTCCTACTGGGGACATTAGCCATAGCAGATTAAGTTCATAAATTCAAACAGAGAGATTCAATTGCCAAATGTTTAAGAACCAGATTAAAAATATTAAAATTACTAAAGGATTTAATACCATATAGTGTGTTATTTTTCATGCATATGCCAATGTCGTAATGGTTAATACATTTTCTTTCTTAAGGTATAGTAGAAGGAGTTATATAATTGTACAATTAGAAACCTATGATTTTTTTCTATGATTGCATCTTCAGTTTTGCTTCTCAGGTCTGGAATGCTGTCTTGAAGAAAGTAGGAAGTGTCTGTCATCTACCTAGCCAGCATCCTAATCATCTGTTATCTATCTGCTATTTGTCTATCTTCCCATCCATCTATCTACTCCCTGCCATATTTCAGAAAGGATTTATCTTGGTTATTTGATGCATATTTAGAAAAATATTATACAAAATCCAGCAGCCTAAAAATGTGCATTGGGTTATATCTGCCTATCATAAAAATAGTTCCAACTTAAGGAGGCGATAACTTTTTGCAAAAAAAAATAGGTTGCATAATATTGAGTGATTAAGAGGTTTAAAAACAATAAATAGTAATAATGGTTTTTGACCTTAAATGGTTCTAGATTCTTAAAGGAAATATTACTTTTAATTAAAGAAAGTGATAATATCATACTGGGCTATGACAAACTTCTACACATCCTTCATTGCAGCAGTAGTACCTTGAATACTATATTTCTCACCAGTATTCTACATAGAATATTAATTAACTCTCCTAATTGCTATTACATGTAGGACAAGGGTTTTCAACTCTCTAACAGTTTGTTTAACAATAATTCACTCAAAAAGTCATCCATGTGGAGGTCTCCATAATACTGTAAATTCTCCCTAGTGTGTAGCAGGTAATTATTTGTCTAAAGTTGAGTTGGACAATAATCTTTCTGTAAACAAGACATTCCTATGCAGTCTGTTGATGATTGTTAATTAATTTTTGCCCATTGATGTAATGTAAAAATTCATTTAGAAGCTATGAATTGTATGAAATATTAATTACATTCTAGAGGTTTCAGAGCACCACAGAATAACAAAAGTGGGCAATGATAAGCTTTTAATTGCAACCCATTCGATTGAGCTATTATGTTTCCATAACCATTATATTTCATTAGTTATCTGTCAGTTTATAATACAGTTGTTAATTGAAGTAGAAACAGAATGTGTGAACTTTTTGTTTTCCCAATTGTATGCTTTGTATGCTTGAGTCATCCAGGAAGACCAACATACGCATAGCCATAGTTGTGCTGCATTTTCAAGGTGAATAAAGCTAACAAGATAAAACCTGCCTCTCATGAGTAGGAAGAAGCCAGATGACTCAGCTGACTCCCAAGTGCAGAGAAAGCCCAGGTGAATAAAATCATTCTGTGTCCATCCAATGTAAAGATGTTGGAATAGAAAATGATTAGCTGGTTTGTTCAAGGTTAAACTCAAACATACACAAGAAAAGAAGCATTTTTCCCCTGCTTTTAAAAACTTAACCTTGAAAGAGCTTTTATTATTGAGATCATTTATTATTTTGAAAATACTCATTCATCTAAGCATTGTGGAACTGATTATTCTAAAACTCTAAAGAATTACGAATAATAGAAGAAATTTTTAGAGTTTATTAATACCCTGCTCCTAGGCAATGATAATTTATTAAAATATAAGTTTTATATCCATTTTTGTTTAATAAGTATTTTTAATTATATTTTTAAACCTAATTTGAATCTTCTTTGTCTAGTATGAAGACCATGTACACTATGCCGGTCACTTCTATCGTGCTTTCACTTAGAAACCTGACCTCTTACATTTGTCAGAATGGCATTTTAAAAATTTATCTGGAATTGAAGTTAAATACAATAAAAATTCTCATTTTTTTGGAATATTGGCAAGAAAAGTATATTTTTATTATCAAAAGAAAAGAGAAGTGTCACTCTGTGAGAGATCATTTTTGAAAACTAGAACTCTAGTAAACACCCTTTGCTTATTTGCAATGATTGAATGTCCATTTCCTTTAAAAGACAGAAAAAGCTTAATGCTTGTCTTTTATCGGACTTAAATAATAATTCCATACATCTGAATAGGACCCTTTTAAATCACCTATAGATCCATTTCCATTCTAGCCCACAAAGATGTCATTTATCATGTTTAATGAAGTTTGCTACTATATTACTTTTAAATATGAAAACTAAGCAATATAATGTGTCTACACACACACACACACACACACACACACACACACACACACACACCCCCCTTTCATTCTCTCCCAATCTCGTTTCTCTTCAGAGACTTTTCCCTCTGTATTCTAATGTGCATTATCATAATGAAAATTTTAAATGTAAATGGAATCAGTTTACACATGAGAGAACTTCAAAAATTTGTGGAAAGATGGAATTAAAAGATAAAAATAAAAAATATAAGCTTTCTTTGTTAACATAAGATACATCAATTTTGAGACACTTTTGTAAGACATTATATCAGCCACTTAGCCCACCCCTAAAGAGCTGAGAGTTGTGAGAATTTAACCATGTTAATGAAGTCTTTTTTACATTATTAAGTGAAGAGAAATGCGTGCCTTTCCCAAATTGTTTAAGATTAGACAACAAAAAGAAGCCAGAGAAGCCAAACCAGGACTGTAAGGTGGATGCTAATGATTTGCCATCAAAACTTTCACAAAATAGCCCTTATTGGATAAGAAGAATGAGCAGGAGCATTGTCATGGAGGAGAAGGACTCTTTGGTGAACCTCTCTGGTGCACACATATCCATGTCTGTGCTAGTGTTCTTAAGGAATGACATGCTATATTTTTTAACATTCATCATTTGGATTGAAAGAATGCACTCTTTGAACTTACTTAATCTTCTAAACACCTTTTCTTGAGGAAATAAATGTTAGTAATGCTGCTGCTAGTAGGGTTCAGAAGAAGCCAACAGAAATTCAAAGAAATGTAATTTCTCTGCCACCACTTAAACTGTATATGATTCAGAAAAAGGGGCCATTTCTGCAGAGAGAGATAGCCCCAGGGACACACAGATTTTTGAGTAAAACATGCCTCTATTAGCAGTGGTTTTCAACCTGGGTGATTTTTGCCTTCCTATCACCTTCACTCCAGGGACATCTGGCAATGCCTGGAGACATTTTTGCTTGTTGCTACTGGGAGGAGGGCGAGAGGAGGGTGATGTTACTAGTAGCTAGCAGATAGAGTTCAGAGATGCTGCTAATGTGTAGGGTAGCCCTCTGTAACAAGGAATAATCTGGCTTAAAATGTTAATAGTACTGAGTTTTAAAAAACCTGCTCTGTTAAAATTAGCAAAAAGCACTCCTTCCTATGGCTTTAATAACCCAGGCCATAGATCTTAACTAGCAGTGTCCAGGCTGCGTTTTGTCTCAACACACATGTTCAGCCATACAGGTACCCTGTATGGGGCACACCTGGAAGCCTGGAGGAAGTGCACTGAGCCTGACTCTCATTGCCCTCATGCACCCTAGATTTATTGTAGATAGATATCTCTTTTCTGATAGCTTCAAAGAAGTAATATTACTTCACTGGTAAGGGAGCTGTATATGCAATGGATAGACGTTGGGGTAAATATCAGTTGCCTTTGGTTCTATGTCCAGCTTAGTTATTGCTTAATAGTGTTAACTTGTGAAAAGAAAATCTTGAATTGAGTAACTCTTAGGCCATCTCCATATCTGAAATCCTACCATTATTTAGTACACAGTGTATGATTAAACATTAGGACTCAGGGCCCAGACCACTTGGGATCAATCCTACCTCTGCCACTTACGAGGTCACTACGTTGAGAAGGTATTTTGCCTCAATGTCTCAGTATCATTATCTATAAAAAGGAAATAACAATTACACATACCTTATAGGATCATTGTTAGAATTATATAAGTTTCAACACATAAAATACTTAGAAAAGTGGCACCTGGTATGTGCTCAATATATGTTAACTACGATAATTATGAAATACAAATCACCAAAAGAACTTACAAAGTCCTGGGCCTGTGACAGCCTCTCCATTTTATTCATTTTCCCATAAATAATGTAACTCCTCAATATAGTATACAGCTCCCAAGGGCTTTTATACTTACCATACCTTCTGTTTTATATCCCTTCGTCTCCCATGCATTTCTATTTTCTATGACTGGCACATAGCTGTTTACTGACTGTCTTAAACACTATTGCCTCTGAAAGTTGTGCTATGCATTTCTGGTAGCTACCTCCTTGGGGTTGTAGGACTAGTTAGACTAGTGTGGTAGTGATAGGACTGCTCCTAAATGTCAGTTCTCTTGTTCTGATTACATGATAGGACTTCAATCCTTCATCTGCTCTAAACCAGGTGCAACCACGTAAGTTGCTTTGTCCAAGGAAATATAAGAAGTGATATGTTGGTCACTTCCTGTCAATCACTTAAGAGCCACTGTACAGTCACACTCTGTCCTCAGCTTTTGTGATCATAGGAAGCTTGTCTCAATGATCCTCTGTCAGCCTGGGTCATTGAGTGACTCATTGAAAAGAGGCCCCTTGCTAACCAACAATAAAGAGGTAGCCTGAACAAGGAATAAACTGCTGTTGTAAGTCACTAGAATGTTGGGTTATATGTACCTCTGCAAAATCTAGCCTATCTTGATTGATACAGGTAGGTTAGGGCCAGGATTCTAACAATTCAGTTTCCTTTCCCTGGTTTTTAATGAAAAGTTTTACAAATCTAAGCTATTTTACTATTGCTAAAATATGCCTATAACAAATGTGAAAATATAAATTTAGTTACAATTAAAATTCTTTACTAAATCTGTGAAAATATAACATCTTGCCTTAATACATTCTATTCAAAATATCAAATATTAATTAAACATTTTTCTAAATCAGCATTGTCAAACTGGCTGCACATATGACTTACATGGGGAGTTAATTTTTTTAAAAGGCCCCAGGACTTCATCCCCAGAGATTCTGATCAAATAGGTTGGGCCAGAGCCTAGGGCATCACTATAGTTCATATGATTCTAATGCACAGCCAGGGTCAAGACCTGCTGTTCTAAATGTACATAATGTCTAACAAGAAATGACTGTCACTGGACTCAACTGACTGCTTGAAAAATTTTCTGAGTCAGGTCAAGACAGCTGCAATGTAAGCCTGGTAAAGTCACTTATTTCTCTAGACCTAGCTTCTGATCTATAATCCTGGGATAAAAATTCCCATCTCCAGTGTCTGAGTGGCTCCACAGGTAGTCACTGGACCACTCTTCACTCAGGAAGGAGCTAATAAAGGTCAGATACCAGTAGAAATGTCTGAACAACTATCAGTTCTAAAGAAGAGAGTTGATTTCCAAATTAAGTACTTCCTCTCACAAAACCCCTATTTTGTCTTTGGTATTTTTTAAATCGCTGTCTATGTCAGTAATATTTGGAGGTCAAGTGCTGACCTGAGATGAGTAATGATAAAGTGTCAGGAACAGAGTATTTTTTCTAAAATCTGAACTTACATTTTCTTTTCTCCTTTTATCTTGAAAAGAAACTAAAATCCCCTAATAAGTGAGCTCTTTAAACAAGTTTAGTTAAAATTCAGCTGTTTGGCTACGTGAGAAAAAGAAGACATGTAGAGGACTATTGTTTGGAATACCAATGTCATTAAGCAATTTCTTTTTTGCTGGTGGTTTTGTTTACTCAAGGAAATAGATGTATTTCACTGGAAACACATCCCACGGAGTCTTTTGGGTAATTGTAGGTAATTCTACAGTTGATGAATTATTTAGGTTTTGTTGTTTTGGGTTGACTACTATATTCCAAACGTCAGTCATTTTGCATGTATTGTGATCATTGTGTACTGACACACTGAAGCAATTTTCCATGTACTCCATGGTGAAATGCATAAGAATGCTAATTGTATCTGTCTTTACTCTTCCTGTATATTGTACTTTCAACCAGTCCATTTGTTATTCCTTAAAAGGAGCAAGAATTATCTTACTAAAACAAGAAAAAAAGAAACAAACAATAATTCAACTTTGTATAAGTAAATATGCTCAAGAGGGATTGAATTAGTATATTATTGAGACAAATATATATATAAAATGATATAAATATATTATGTATAATATATATAATATATATTTTAAAGACATACTTGTATGTTTTTAAATTATCATTATTCATAAATAGCTTTTATAATTGTGTCTATGCTAATGTGTAGAGTCTGATATAATAAATTGATCATTTAACTTTTTATTCTTAGGACCATAACAACCAAAATCAGTAATTATTCTGAGGAATAAAGAGGCAAGTGGAACCACAAAAAATTATTCTTTCTTGTTCAGTAAACACAGTGCTAATGTGCTAATGGTCACTAATGAAGTCCTCATGCATCAGTTTAAGAAATTATTAGCTTGAAAAAAGAATTGTGGACAAATCATTATTTTAAAATGTCCCAGTATTTGCAGCCAGGCACTTTGGCTCATGCTTGTAATCCCAGCTACTGAAGAGGCTAAGTGGGAGGATTTCTTGAGCCTGGGAGTTAGAGACCAGCCTGGGCAACATAGCAGGACCCTGTCTCTTAAAAAGAAAGTTGAAATAAAAATGGCCCAGTTTTTAATAGGAAATCAGCATTGTACTTATTTTCACACAGAATCCATTTGAAATGCTGAGCAATTTAATAATAATAGAAAACAATTAGACATTAATAAATAGTTCTCTTCTTAAATGTCCAACAAAATAGCAGTTATTTTATTACTGAATTTACATCTCACAAATCTTAAAATTTCAAATTTTTCTTTTTAGTCCATAAATTCAATTTCTTTCAATTGTTTTAGAGCAAAAAGGTAGCCTTGTTCCTGGTCCAAGATAAAACACAAGGAAATATACACATATAACTTATATATACAATTTATTAATAAATTGATCAATTTAAATTATTTTTCTGTGTTACTGACTTCGTTTTGCATTTGGCCTTTAGTGAATCACTGTGTAGATACTCTGGATGTTTAACTCAATCTATTTGCTTGTTTAATGACATCCCTTCTTCATTATAGTCTGCTTTCTCTAATACATCCTTCCCTTCTGCCTATAAACATGGTCACTGGTCCTCTAACCAATAACAATATTTCTTTTTTTAAAAAATAATATTTATTTACTTACGTATTTTTTAATTTATTTATTTGAGATGGAGTTTGGCTCTTGTTGCCCATGCTGGAGTGCAATGGCGCAATCTCAGCCCACTCCAACCGCTGCCTCCCAGGTTCAGGCGATCCTCCTGCCTCAGCCTCCTAAGTAACTGGGATTACAGGTGCACACCACCATGCCCAGCTAATTTTGTATTTATAGTAGAGATGGAGTTTCACCATGTTGGACAGGCTGGTCTCAAACTCTTGACCTCAGGTGATCTGGCCACCTTGGTCTCCCAAAGTGCTGGGATTACAAATGTGAGCCACTGTGTCTGGCAAAAAATATTTCTTCAACTGTGTAATAAACTCCACGTTTTCATATTTTTCTATCTTTCTAAAAATGATTATTAAGTCAAATTAAGTTTTGGAACTTCAATTTGAATTTTATGAAAAAATGCATAAACATTATTTAAAGGGCAAATAATATAAGGTTTACAAGAACAAAAGTGCCATCTCCAACCTCATCTTCCTGTCTCTAAATTCTTATCTAAAAAGCACCAATTTCAATCAAATTTCAATTTTTTTCCTAACTCTTATTTTTTTAAATAAGTGATATATGCAGGAATATTTGTTAATTTTAAGATTTTTAACATAGTTTGTTGACTTTCTGCCTATAAAATACAAGAATTTATCACCTTAGGTCATGTCCCCACATACATGTATGTACACATATATACACAAATACTTCTTTTCTATCTTCTCAGTGAATTTATTCAGTAATTTTTTAATCTATACTGATTTGAACTATAAATCAACTTTTAGCTCAATTGCATCTTATAACTTTATACAACTTATTTTCTTATACAACTTTTCTTCTCTTTGAGGTTCGTGATAGCTGTAATTTTTTAATTGAGGGATTTTTTGTTTTAATGATGACTAATTGATCCACAAGCCTTCTGTAAAAACAGGAAGGCTTTCTTGATGGCATCAAACACTACAGATAATCTACAGGTACACTTTCCCCCCAAAAAATAACCTTCCTGGTGCCCCTGACATTCTCCACTACTCTGGATTGTTTGCTCTGTAATAGAATAGCTGCAGAGAGACTTGCTTAGGGTTTTCTTTTACCTTCTTTCTAGAGATTTTTCTCTTTTTCGCTTCCAAGATAAATCTTTTGTTTACTCAGTCTTATTCCTCTCTTTTTCTTGCTTTACAGTCTCATTTTGGTAAGCAGATCTTCCCATATCTTCCTGCAAAAAGGGGTTCATGGTATAGAATTTTTGAGACCTTCCATCTCTGAAAATGTCTTCATTTATCTTCCCACATATGGTTTATGCTTGAAGCAGGTTTAGAATTCCAACTTGAAAATTATTTTCTCTCAGAATTTTTAAGGGAATGTTTCATTTGCATCTTGTTTCCAGTGTTGTTATCGAAAAGCTCAAAGTTATTCTGATGTCTAATCATTTGTATTTGAACTGCATTTTTTTCTTTACTGAAAGATTTTATGTTTATGTTTTTTACTCCTGATGAGCTTAATTTTGATAAGGCTGTACGTTGATGTAGGTGGTGCTCATTTTTTTCCACTCAATATTTTACTGAAGTATGTACTATTACTATCCACATTTTACATGTGAAGAAACTGAGGCATAGGTTCAGTAACTTGCCCAAAGTTACACAGGGAGTAAATAACAAAATAGATTAGAACTTGGGTAGTCTAGCTTAACAGTCTTCTCTTTTGACCATTAAACTTGAAAGTAAACAGTTTTGTAAAATTTAGCTTAGCAAAAATATTTCTCTGTTTATTGGTCACATTAAGTTATGCATTGGGCCTCCTATACAGTGAAAATTCTATGAGTACTTCATGGAAGACTGCGTACTTTTCATTAAGTAATCACAAAGATTAAATCATAGTAATCACTAGGAAAATTCCACATGTATATAAATCATGTATAAAGTAATTGGAGGCCTGGAGCGGTGGCTCACGCCTGCAATCCCAGCACTTTGGAAGTCCGAGGCAGGCGGGTTATTTGAGGTCAGGAATTTGAGACCAGCCTGGCCAACATGGTGAAAACCCCGTCTCTACTAAAAATCCAAAAAAAAAAAAAAAAAAAAAAGAGCTGGGTGTGGTGGCACATGCCTATAACCCAGCTACTCGGGAGGCTGAAGCATAAGAATCGCTTGCACCTGGGAGACAGATGTTGCAGTGAGCTGAGATCACACCACTGCACTCCAGGCTGGGTGACAGAGTGAGACCCTTTCTCAAAAAAAAAAAAAAAAAAAGTGATTGGAATAGCAAACCTATTTTATAGTTATGATTTTATACTTAAAATTATTTTATAGTTATAATTTTACACTTAAGTAGTAATCACAAAACAATAATAGTTAATACAAGAGTGATAAGTCCATCTATTAACATGCATTCAAATAAAAATACACGTAGCTTCCTTTAAAAAAAGACAAACAGTGTAAACTTCATGTAAGAAAAAACAAGAAAAACCAGGCAAATTTTAAAAACAAAGAGTATTGAGGGTAGGCTAACATTTTAGATATTAAAATGCATACAGTTATTGTAACCTGAACAATATAAATTCTTGAATGAAGGACACAGATTAATGCATGGAGTAAACAATTCAGAAATCACATATTTCAAGAATATAACATGATAAATATGAATTTTTAAAAAACAGAAAGGAAAACATGGATCATTCAGTGAGTAATATTGGCCAATTATGTGCCTGTTTCCTCCTGTCATCACTAAAAACACAAAAGTCAGGAAGTTTATATGCTGTAACATTAAACAATCCCTACGTATCGGTGAAAAAAACAAGATCTACGTTTCATGCTGCATGTCCACTGTGGGTTAGAGAGAGGGGCACTGGTCTGCATCATATTCAGTTACTCAGGCTGAGAAAAGTTTCTTCTCCACTTTTCCAAATTTGCCAAAGCAGAAAAAAAAAGTGGTTCTTAAAGCTTCTAAACATAATCCTACATATGCTCGAAAGAGGAAAGCTGTAAAGCTTTGGTGAACAGCATATCACCATACTCCTCACCCTTCTTTCCACAACCACTTTCATCTACATTCCAAGATAGACTATCCAATAGTACTTCCTAGTTATGTCATCTGCTGAAAGTCCAGGAGCTCTTGGTTATGCCCTGTAGTCACTACAGAAGTTCTAGATGTGGTACCTATGGTGTTTAGTTTAGTTTACTTCATAGATCACCTCAATAAGTGAAAAAATTGTTTGCCCTCATACACCTAATATTAATATTTAATAATGAAATAAGGATATGGTAGCCACAGAAAACACTCTTGTTTGGAAAAAGAAACTTAAGACATGCAGCAGACACTGGTGTTAAGGCATTTCTGAAACTCCGAAGAAGATACTTTGAGGGTTCCTAGTTCCTTGATTATGTCCTAATTTCACTCCCTAGGAGTTTTCTTCTCTATTATTCTGCATCTCTGGCTTCACTGTCTGTGAGATTCTTTCTTTTCATTGTCTTCTAGGTCACACCTGAGCATCTGGGAATACACCTTTCTTAAAGACTGAGCAAAGTTTTCTACCTGTATCGTATCCATAAATGGTTAGGGAATGAGTTGGGTTTATTTCCCCTCCCTTTTAGGTTAGGAAGACTTTCAACAGGATTGAAAGCCTCTACCTTGAGATTTAATAGCTTCCAGCTCAAATCTCTTTATTCTGCATGTTTTATTTTTCTCAAAAAATTTTAAAATACTGATTTGACTTTATTATTCATAAGACGTTCAATTTTTCTGAAAGTTCTCTATAATACTATCTTATATTTTTACTCTATCTATGGATACCTACCTATTTTTAATCTCAATGGCTTTTAATTTTCTTTTGTTTTCTGCCTGATAGACATTTGCCTACTTTATTAGTCATTCCAAAGAACCATTTTTTAGCTTTGATATGGCATTTTATTGTCATACAGTTCTAAATTCTGTGTATACTTCTAAATATTTTAACATTTCCATTATGGCATTTTTGTCTTTGAGTTATTAAGTATTCTCTTAATTTTCAATTATATACCATTGTCATTTGTATTTCTTGTACTGATCTTTGTATATAACACAACTTTTTTTTACAATATGCTAAAATTACTCTAGCTCTGAGTGACATCAGTAAAATTACTGACTAGAGTTAGGTGCTAACTCTCCACAGAAAGGAATCGGAACAATGAATAAACAATGATATTTCAACTACAGTAACTGAGGAAGTATGCTGGATAGCACCAGGAGAATGGCAAAATCCCTGTGGAACACAGAAGACCAGAATAACACCGCAGAGAAGGGTGGCATACTTTTTCTCCCACTGGAATAAGCTCAGAGTCATGGGTAACTTTTTTTTGTGAAGAGAGAATAAACTGGAAATCCCCAATGGTTCCTATCACTGCCACAAACACCAGCAATCATTGCTACAGAAGAGCCTATCAAGTCCTCATAGGTTCTGAATCCAGTTTGGAGAGTAGCCAGGAGTTAATAAAAGCTGCACTGCTTAGAGTAGGAACCTACTTTGAATACATCCCACCCCCCATGATCTAAGATGCTATGGCTCAATATTATTTTAAAACTGGACTCACTACTAGAGGGTGTCCTGCCCTGGAGGCCATTAGCAACTGACTTTCTCCACCCATGAGGCTTCACTGTCATTCCACCACATTCACATGGGTGGGTGCCAGCAGCATCATGACCCCAGCCACCCAGAACCTAAGCGAGATGGAACCACTAACCTTGGTTTTTAAACCCATGTGGCACATCAGAAAACCTATAAAATATAGCTTAAAATTTCCAAAGTACTGGGAGAGATATGGGCATCCAGATTTAGGAAACTCAAAAGTCTTCAATTAGATTTAACCCAAGAAGATCCTCTCTGAGGCCCAATATAATCAGACTGTCAAAAGTCAAAGACGAAGATAAAATTCCAAAAGATGTAAGAGAAAAGTAACAAGTCCCATATAAAATAATTCCCATTATATTATTAGTAGATTTTTCAGCAAAAACCTTGCAAGTCAAGAGAGAATGGGATAATATATTGAAAATGCTGAAAGAAAAAAAAACTGGCATCCAAGAATACTATCTCCAACAAATTTATCTTTCAGAAATGAAGGATAAACAAATACTTTTGAAGACAAGCAAAAGTTGAAGAAGTTTACCCATTAGGCTTGCCTTACAAGAAATGATTATGAAGTAATACAACTGGAAACTAAAAGGTAATATCACCATGAAAATGTGTGAAAGTATAGAACTCATGAGTATAGATAAATTTATAAATCAAACACAAAATACCCCAATGATATATTGGTGCTATGTAATTCTCTCCATCTTCTAGTATGAAGGTTTAAAATCAAAACAAGTCAAAAACAACAGCTACGGTAGTAGCCAAGGAACACACAGTAGATTAAGTAAATTAAGGCAACAAAAATACAAATGGGAGGAGGGAAATCTAGAGTATTTTTATGCAAGCTGAGTTGAGTTGCTATCAGCTTAAAATAGTCTATTATAAGACTTTTTATGTTAGTCCCATGGTAACCACAAGGAAAGAAATGATACCAGATACACAAACAAGAAAGAGAAGTGATAACCCCAGAACTTTGGGAGGCTAAGGCAGGAAGATCATTTGAGGCCAGGAGTTTGAGATAAGCCTGGCCAATGTGGTGAAACCTGGCCTCTATTAAAAGTACAAAAAAAAAAAAAAATTCAGCTTGGCATGGTGGTTCATGCTTGTAGTTTCGGCTACTCGTGAGGCTGAGGAACAAGAATCGCTTGAACATAGCAGGTGGAGGTTGCAGTGAGCTGAGATCGTGCCATTGCATTCCAGCTTGGGTGACAGAGCGAGAGAAAGAAAGAAAGAAAAGAAAGAAAGAAAGAAAGAAAGAAAGAAAGAAAGAAAGAAAGAAAGAAAGAAGGAAGGAAGGAAGGAAGGAAGGAAGGAAGGAAGGAAGGAAGGAAGGAAGGAAGGAAGGAAGGAAAGGAGAAAGAAAGAAAGAAGAAAGAAGGAAGGAAGGAAGGAAGGAGAAATAAAGCTTAGCACCACAGAAAGAAAATTGAAATAAAGCTTAGCACCACAGAAAACCACCAGACTACAGAGGTGAACAATAAGAAAGGAAGAGATCTGCAGAACAACCAGGAAACAACTAACAAAGTGACAGGGTAAGTTTTTATCTACCAATAATAACCATGAATAGAAATGAATTAAATTCTCCAACTAAAAGTTATA
This sequence comes from Homo sapiens, assembly GCF_000001405.40. Classification (NCBI taxonomy): domain Eukaryota; kingdom Metazoa; phylum Chordata; class Mammalia; order Primates; family Hominidae; genus Homo; species Homo sapiens. Next base: position 115,311,159 of record NC_000006.12, on the reverse strand, counting down.
GAGTGGCTAAATGGCTAAAAAAGAAGACCCAACTACTGCTGCCTATCAGAGACTCCCTTCACCAATTAAGACAAAAATAGAATGAAAGTGAAGGATAGGTGAGGAAAATGGTGGATAGAAGGCAGGACTAAATTGCAGCTCCCACTCAGAGGGACAGAGCAGTGTGTGAAGACTCACATCATGAACTTCTGCTCCAAAAACTACTACAGGAACATACCAGAAAAGCCAAAAGCATCCAAAAGCCCTTTGAAAGAAGTGGTTTGCTGCATGCCCCTGGTGACAGCCAAAAATCTGTGTGCCCAAAGTGTGAAAGTGTAATGGAGGATCATCCACTTCTGAACACAAACCCTCACTGGGGAACCTGAAGGTCCAGATCACTGGAGAAGGATTTGACCTTACCTGGAGCTGAGACAATTTAGAGAGGCAAGCAAAATACAGGGGTAGAGGAAGCAGTGGGAAAAGCCCTGTGGGCTCTTTGCGTCCCCAGGGAAGCCATTTCTGACTTGTCTCACAGAGCCCTTGGGGAGGGCTGCAAAAGGAACTGGGGAAAGACCACAGAGAGAAGGAAACTTCCAGCCAAACTTTGTAACAATTCCAACTGAATGCAGTTTCCTGACCAGAACTCAGGCGAGAGCATGAGTTCAGTGTGCAGGCTTGACAGGCAGGGAGTCATGAAAGCCCTGCTTGCTTTCTCAGGTGGGAGGCTGGTAGCCTGGGGCAAGTTCTCAGCCCTGCTTGCCCACTGCCTGGAAAGAAACTTGGTGCTGTTAGTGGGTGGGGCGGGGACACAGCAGGAGTGAGACCGGCCTTTTGGGTTGCGTGGGAGCTGGGTGAGCCCTGTAACTGCCGGCTTTCCCCACTTCTGTGACAACCTGCATGACACAGCAGAGGCAGCCATAATCCTTCTGGGAACATAACTCCATTAACCTGGGAACCACAATCCCATCCCCCACAGCAGCCAGAGCAAGCCTCGCTCAAGGAGAGTCTGAGCTCAGACATGCCTAACAACGCCCCCACCTGATGGTCATTCCCTACCCATCCTTGTAGCTGAAGACAAAGGGCATATTCTCTTGGGAGTTCTAGGGCCCTGCCCACTGCCTGATCCTCTATACTACCACAGCTGATGCTCTCTTGAAAGCGCCACCCCCTAGCAGGAGGCCAACCAGAAAAAATAATGCAATAAACAACAATAATACAACTAAGGACCTTCACAGAGTCCATTTCAGTCCCCTACCACCACCACCGAAGCAGATGTTGGTATCCACAGCTGACAGACCTGTGGATACCAACACCTGATGGTTCATATCACTGGACTCTGTGCAGGCACCACTAGTACTGTCCTGGAACCTGGTAACCCAGCTGGGTGGCTAGATCCAGAAGGGAAATAACAATCACTACAGTTTGGCTCTCAGGAAGCCACATCCCTAGGAAAAGAGGGAGAGTACAAAAAACTGATTCTTAGGAAAGATAATTAAAATTGATGAGCATTGGTGAGATTAACCAAGAAAAGAAAAGAGAAGATCCAAATAAGCTCAATTAGAAACAAAATGGGAGATGTTACCACTGATACCATAGAAATACAAAAGAATATTCAAGGCTACAATGAACACCTTTATGCGCATAAACTAGAAAATCTAGAGAAGATGAATAAATTCCTGGAAATGTGCAACATTACTAGATTAAACCGGGAAGAAATAGAAATTTTGAAAAGACCAATAAGAAACAGTGAAATTGAATGATAATTTAAAAATTGCCAATTAAAAAAATGTCCAGGACCAGATGGATTCACAGCTGAATTCTATCAGACATTCAAATAATTGGTACCAATCCTGTTGACATTATTATATAAGATATATAAAGAGGAAATTCTCCCTAAATCAGTCTATGAAGTCAGCACCACTCTAATACCAAAACCAGGAAAGGACATGACAAAAAAAGCAAACTACAGACCAATATCCCTGATGAATATAGAGGCAAAAATCCTTAACAAAATACTAGCTAACTGAATCCAACAGCATATCAAAAAGATAACCCACCATGATCATGTGAGTTTTGTACCAGGGATGCAAGGAAGGCTTAACATATGCAGGTCAATAAATGTATACACCGCATAAACAGAATTAAAAACAAAAATCTCATGATCATCTCAATAGATACAGAAAAAGCATTTGACAAAATCCAGCTTCCCTTTATGATTAAAACTCTCAGCAAAATCAGCACAGAAGGAACATATGTTTCATTTCTGCTATATATTTTATTATCATTATTATGCTTTAAGTTCTGGGATACATGTGCAGAACATGCAGGTTTGTTACATAGGTATACATGTGCCATGGTGGTTTGCTGCAGCCATCATCTCCTCGCCTATATTAGGTACTTCTCCTAATGCTATCCCTCCCCTACTCCCCCACCCACTGGCAGGCCCCAGTGTGTGATGTTCCCCTCCCTGTGCCCATATGTTCTCATTTTTCAACTCCCACTTATGAATGAGACCATGCGGTGTTTGGTTTTCTGTTCTTGTGTTAGTTTGCTGAGAATGATGGTTTCCAGCTTCATCCATGTCCCTGCAAAAGACATGAACTCATTTTTTTTTTTATGGCTGCAGAGTATTCCATGGTTTAAAAAACAAACAATCCCATCAAAAAGTGGGTGAAGGATATGAACAGATATTTCTCAAAAGAAGACATTTATGCAGCCAACAAACTTATGAAAAAAAGATCATCATCACTGGTGATTAGAGAAATGCAAATCAAAACCACAATGAGATACCATCTCATGCCAGTTAGAATGGCGAACATTAAAAAGTCAGGAAACAACAGATGCTGGAGAGGATGTGGAGAAATAGGAATGCTTTTACACAGTTGCTGAGAGTGTAAATTAGTTCAACTATTGTGGAAGACAGTGTGGCGATTCCTCAAGGATCCAGAACTAGAAATACCATTTGACCCAGCAATCCCATTACTGGGTATATACCCAAAGGATTATAAATCATTCCACATGCACAAGTATGTTTATTGCGGCACTATTCACAGTAGCAAAGACTAGGAACATATCTTAGTGTAATAAAAGCCATCTATGACAAACTCATAGCCAATATAATACTGAATGGGGAAAAATTGAAAGCTTTTCTTCTGAGAACTGGAGCAAGACAAGAATGCCCACTTTTACCACTTATATTCAACATAGTACAGGAAGTGCCAGCCAGAGCAATCAGACAAGAGAAAGAAATAAAGGGCATCCAAATCAGTAAAAAGAAAGTCACACTGCTGCTATTTGCTGATGATATAATCGTACACCTAAAAAACACTAAAGACTCCTCCAAAAAGCTTCTAGAACTGATAAATGAATTCAGCAAACTTTCAGGATACAAAATTAATGTACACAAATCAGTAGCTCTGCTATACACCAACAGCGACCAAGCTGAGAACCAAATCAAGAACTTAACCCCTTTTGCAATAGCTGTAAAAAAATAAAATAATATACTTAGGAATATACCTAACCAAGGAGGTGAAAGACCTCTACAAGGAAAACTACAAAACACTGCTGAAAGAAACCGTAGATGACACAAACAAATAGAAACACATTCCATGATCATGGATGGATAGAATCAATATTGTGTAAATAAACTTACTGCCAAAAGCAATCTACAAATTCAATTCAATTCCCATCAAAATACCACCACTGTTCTCCACAGAACTAGATAAATCAATCTGAAAATTCATATGGAACCATAAAAAAAAGCCTGCATAGACAAAGCAAGACTGATCAAAAAGAACAAAACTGGAGGCATCACATTACATGACTTCAAACTATACTATAAGGCTATAGTCATCAAAACAGCTTGGTACTGGTATAAAAATAGGCACAAAGACCAATGGAACAGAATAGAGAAATCAGAAATAAAGACAAATATTTACAGCCAACTGATCTTCGACATAGCAAACAAAAACATAAAATGGAGAAATGACACCCTATTCAAAAAATGGTGCTGGAATAATTGGCAAGCCACATGTAGAAGCATCAAACTAGATCCTCATCTCTTACCTTATACAAAAATCAACTCAAGATGGATCAAGGACTTAAATCAAGACCTGAAGCCATAAAAAATCTAGAAGATAATGTCATAAAAAAACCCTTCTAGACACCGGCTTACTAAAAGGATTTGTGACCAAGAATCCAAAAGCAAATGCAATAAAAACAAAGATAAATAGATGGGACTTAATTAAACTAAAAAACTTCTGCACAGCAAAAGAAGCAATCAGCAGAGTAAACAGACAACCCACAGAGTGGGAGAAAATCCTCGCAATCTATACATCTGACAAAGAACTAGAATCTACAATGAACTCAAGCAAATCAGCAAGAAAAAAAAGAAACAATCCCGTCAAAAAGTGGGCTAACAACATGAATAGACAATTCTCAGAAGAAGGTATACAAATGGACGACAAACATGAAAAAATGCTCAGCATCACTAATGATCAAAGAAATGCAAATCAAAACCACAATGTGTTACCACCTTACTCCTGCAAGAATGGCCATTATCAAAAAAAATGAAAAAATAATAGATGTTAGCATGGATGTGGTGAAAAGGAACACTTTTACACTGTTGGTGGAAATGTAAACTAGTACAACTGTGGAAAACACTATGGAGTTTCCTCAAAGAACTAAAAGTAGAACTACCATCCAGCAATTCCACTACTGGGTATCTACCCAGAGGAAAAGAAATCATTATGCAATAAAGATCCTTACACACGCATGTTTACAGCAGCACAATTTGCAATTGCAAAAGTATGGAACCAGCCCAAATGCCCATCAATTAATGAGTGGAAAAACAAATTGTGATTATATAAATATATATGTGTGTGTGTGTGTGTGTGTGTGTGTATGTGTGTGTGTGTGTGTGTGTGTGTATGTATATATATATATATATATCCTGGAATACTACTCAGCCATAAAAAGGAATGCAATAATGGCATTAGAGACCATTATTCTAGGTGAAGTAACATAGGAATGGAAAAACAACCATTGTATGTTCTCACTCATAAGTGGAAGCTAAGCTATGAGGATGCAAATCCACAAGAATGATACAATGGACTTCAGGGACTCAGGGGAAAGGGTGGGAGGGAGGTGAGGAATAAAAGACCACATTGGGTACAGTATACAATGCTCGGGTGATAGGTACACCAAAATTTTAGAAATCACCACTAAAGAACTTATTCATGTAACCAAACACCACCTGTTTCTCAAAAACCTGTTGAAATAAAATAAATAATAAAAATAAAAAGCAAAATAAATAAAATGAGAAATGCTATCTCAAAAAAAAAAAAAAGAAAGTGAAAGGATGGAAAAAGACATCCCATGCATACGGTAACCAAAAGTAAGAAGAAATAGCGATACTTATATCAGATAAAATAGCCTTTAAGTCAAAAATTGTGAAAAAAAGACAAAAAGGTAATTACATAATAATTAAAAATTAATTAAACAAAAAGACATGATAATTGTAAATATATATGCATCCAAAACCAGGACACCAGATATAAAGGCATATATTATACCTAAGAGAGTTTATACCTAAGAGATGTACTGCAATATGATAATAGTAGAGAATTTCAACACTCCACTTCCAACAATGGACAGTTCATCTAGACAAAAAATTGACAAAGAAACATTAGACTTAATCTGCACTACAAACCAAAGGGACCTAAACGGAAATTTACAAAACATTCCATTCAACTGTTACAGACTACACATTCTTCTCAACTGCACATGGAACATTTTCCAAAATCATATTAAGCCCTAAAAAGAGTATTAACAAATTTAAGAAGATAGAAACCATATCAAGTAATTTTTCTGGCCACAATGGTATAAAACTAGAAATCAACAACGAGAAAAGCTTCAGAAACTTTAAGAGTATATGCAAATTAAATACGTCTCTAAACAACCAACAGGCCAAGAAGAAATTAAAAGGGAAATTGAAAATTTCATTTAGACAAACAAGAATAGAAACACATCATATCGAAACCTGTGGGATCTAGCAAAAGCAGTGCTAATAGAAAACTTTATTGCAATAAATGCCTATATCAGAAAAGAAAGATTTCTAATAAACAACCTAACAATGCACCTCAAGAAACTAAAACAACAAAAATAAACTAAACTCAAAGTTGCAACAGGGAAGAAAATTCTAAAAGGTCAGAGCAAAAATAAATGAAATAGAGACTTAAAAATCCAAAAGATTAACAAAACAAGGAGTTGGTCTTTTGAAAATAAAAACAAAATCAACAAACTGTTGGCTAGACTGAGAAAAAATGAGAGAAGATTCAAATAAATAAAATCAGAGATTAAAAAAGGAGACATTACATCTGATACCACAAAAATAGAACCATAAGAAACTATTCTGAACAACTATATGCCAATGAATTTGATAGCATAGAAGAAATGGATAAATTCCTGGACACACAATCTATCAATATTAAATTATGAATAAATAGAAAATCCGAACAAAGCAAAAATAAGTTAGGAAATTTAATCAGCAATAAAAGTCTTCCATAGAAGAAGAGCCTAATACCTGATGGCTTCACTGAAGAACTCATACCAAGTCTCCTCACATTATTTGAGAAAATTAAAGAGGAGGGAGTACTTCCAGACTTATTGTATGAGACCAGCATTTCCTGATTCCAAAACCAGGCAAGGACACACACACAAAAGAAAACTACAGACCAATATCTCTGATGAACATAGATGCGAAATTCTCAACAAGAAACTAGCAAACTGAATGCAACAGTACGTTAAAAAGACAATTTACTGTGATAAAATGGGATTCATGCCAAGTGTTCAAGGATGCTTTAACATATGTAAATCAATAAATGTAATACATCATGTTAACAGAAAGAAAGACAAAATCCATTTGATCATTTTGATAGGCTCAAGAAAAGCATTTGACATGATTCTACACCTTTTCTTGATAAAAACTCTTGACAAATTAGGTATAGAAGGTATAGAAAATAATAAAGGCCATATAAGACACATCTACAGGTAACATTACACTGAATGGGAAAAGTTAAAAGCTTTTCCTCTAATATCAGGAACAAGATAAGGATACTCACTTTTATCACGTGTATTCAACACAGTACTAGAAGTTGTAGCCAGAGTCATTAGAAAGAGAAAGAAATAAAAGGCATTCGAATTGGAAAGGAGGAAGTCAAATTATTGTTTCCAGATGGCATGATCTTATATTTAGAAAACCCTAAAAACTCCATCAAAAAACTGTTAGGTCTAACAAATTGATTCAAGAAACTTGCAAGATATAATATCAACATACAAAAATCAGTAGTGTGGGCCATATATGGTGGCTCACACCTGTAACCTCAACACTTTGGGAGGCCACGGTGAGAGGATTGCTTGAGGCCAGGAGTTTGAGACCAGCATGAGCAACATAGTGAGACCCCCATCTCTCCACACACAAAAAAAATATTTTTTTTTTTTTTTTTTTTTTTGAGACGGAGTCTCGCTCTGTCGCCCAGGCTGGAGTGCAGTGGCGGGATCTCGGCTCACTGCAAGCTCCGCCTCCCGGGTTCACGCCATTCTCCTGCCTCAGCCTCCCAAGTAGCTGGGACTACAGGCGCCCGCCACTACGCCCGGCTAATTTTTTTGTATTTTTAGTAGAGACGGGGTTTCACCGTTTTAGCCGGGATGGTCTCGATCTCCTGACCTCATGATCCGCCCGCCTCGGCCTCCCAAAGTGCTGGGATTACAGGCGTGAGCCACCGCGCCCGGCCACAAAAAAAATATTTTAAAGTTAGCCAGGTGTTGTATGCATCCTCAATCCTAGTTACCCAGCAGGCTGAGGTATGAGGATCACATGAGCCCAGGAGTTTGAGATTACAGTGTGCCATGATCACACTACTGCACCCCAGCCTGGGCAAGTGAGTGAGACTGTGTCTCTCTAAAATTAAAATCATAAACAAATAAATTTAAAAATAAAAAATAAAAATTAGTACTGTTTCTGTACACCAATTGTGAACTACCTGAAAAAAAAATCAAGAAAACAATTTCACTTACAAAAGCTACAAAATAAGTATTGCCTAGGAATAAACTTAACCAAGACGATGAAAGATTCCTACACTGAAAACTGTAAAACTTTGGTAAAAGAAATTGAAGAGAAAACAAATAAATCCTGCGTTCATGGTCCATAAATTTAGCATTGTTAAAATGGCCATACTACCCAAGGTGATTTACAGATGTAATACAATCCCTACCAAAATACCAACGACATTCTTCACACACACAGAACAAAAGCAATCCTTAAATTAATATGGAAGCACACACGACCACAAATAGCCAAAGTAATCCTGAACAAAATGTGCAAAGTTGGAGGCATGCTACTTGACTCCAAAATGTATTACAAAGCTATAGTAACTTAAATATTAATAGCATGGTATTGGCATGAAAACAGATAGATAGGCCAATGGAAAAGAAAGGTGAGCCCAGAAATAAATTCATGAACCTAAAAACAGCTGATTTTTGATAAAGTTACCAAGAACACATGTTGGGGAAAGAGTCTTTTTAATAAATGGTACTGGGATAATTGGAAATCCACATGCAGAAGAATAAGGCTAGAACCCTACCTCTCAACATATAAAAAAGTCAACTTAAAAATGGATTAAAGACTTAAATTTGAAATCTGACACTATAAAACTACTAGAAGGAAACAAGGGGATGCCTCATGACATTGTGCTAAGAAAGGATTTTTTAAATAAGATCTCAAAAGCACAGGCAACAAAAGCAAAAACAGACAAATGAGATCAAACCAGAGAGCTTTTGCACAGCAAAGGAAACTATTAACAGAGTGAAGAGACCACCTACAGGATGAGAGAAAATATTTGCAAACTATACCTAAGACAAGAGGCTAATATCCAGAATATATATGAAACTTAACCTACCAATAAAACAAATAACTCAATTTCAAAAAGGGCAAAAGAACTTAATAGACATTTTTCAAATGAAGACATACAAATGGCCAATAGGTGTATGAAAAAATATTCAGCGTTACTAATCATCAGGGAAATGCAAATCAGACCACCATGGGATATCATCTTACCCCAGTTAGAGTGAGTGTTATAAAGAAAACAAGTTTTGGCAAGGACGTGAAGGGCAGACAATATTTGTACACTATTGGTGGGATTGTAAACTAGTACAGTCACTATAGGAGAGAGTATGGAATTTCTTTAAAAAATATCTGGCAATCCCACTATTGAGAATACACACACACACACACACACACACACACACACACACACACACACACATATGAAAGGAAATCAGTATGTCAAAGGGGCGTCTGCACTCCCATTTATTGTTGTAACAGCATTTACAATAGCCAAGATATGGAATTAACCTAAGTGTCCAACAATGAATAAATAGATAAAGAAAATGTGGCATATATACACAATTTAACACTATTCAGTCATAAAAAATAATAAAAATGAAATCCTGTTATTTGTGACAATACGGATGGGTCTGGAGAATATTATGTTGTGTGAAATAGGCCAGACATAGAAAAACAAACAGCATAAGATCTCCCTCATATATAGAATCTAAAAAAAAAAGTTGGAAGAGATGATAAGAAGTTGATTAACATGTACAAAGTTACAATTAGATAGAAGGAATAAAGTCCAGTGTTCTATTGCCCAGTAGGGGTGACTGTGGTTAACAATAAAATATTGTACCTTGCAAAATGGCTAGAATAAGTCATTTGAATGTTCTCACCACAAAGAAATAATAAATATAAGAGTTGACGAATCACTAAATGCACTGATTGGATCATTGTACAACATAGGTATGTATCAAAACATCAAATTGTACCCCATAAATATGTATAATTAAATGTTGCCGTTAAAAATAAAAAAATTACTCTATTCTACCACATGTTCTAAATATTCTCAAAAGCACCAACTAGAACAGTACCTGACACAAAACATAAGTTCAAGAAATGCAAGTTGGATAAATAAATAAAATCCAGTTTATTAGTCATGTTTTCAATTCTTCTGTATTTAACCATTTTGATCTGCTTCATCTATGTGATGGTGGATTTAAAATTTTTTCTGTATATTCCTATCAATTTTATAAAATACAGTTTGATACTTTAGATGATTATGAGTTTAAAAGTGTTTTATCTTCTTGGAGAATTAAACCTTTTATTATTAGACAGTGATGCTATCAATCTGTGATGTTGATTTTAAAGTTTATTTTTACTTAATATTAATATAACTACTCTAGCTTTATTTTTGTTAGTTTTTTTTTTAACTGGTATAGTTTCTCTTTATTTTTTTCTTTAAACTTTTTTTTTTTTATTATACTTTAAGTTGTGGGATACATGTGCAGAATGTGCAGGTTTGTTACATAGGTATACACGTGCCATAGTGGTTTGCTGCACCAATCAACCTGTATCTACATTAGGTATTTATCCTAATGCTATCCCTCTCCTAGCCCCCTACCTCCTGAAAGGCCCCTGTGTGTGATGTTCCCCTCCCTGTGTTCATGTGTTCTCATTGTTCAACTCCCACTTATGAGTGAGAACATGCAGTCTTTGGTTTTCTGTTTCTGCGTTAGTTTGCAGAGAATGATGGTTTCCAGCTTCAACCATGTTCCTGCAAAGGACATTAGCTCATCCTTTCTGATGGCTGCATAGTATTCCATGGTGTATATGTGCCACATTTTCTTTATTCAATCTATCATTGATGGGCATTTGGGTTGGTTCCAAGTCTGCTATTGTGAATAGTGCTGCAATAAACATAAGTGTGCATGTATCTATATAGTAGAATGATTTAAAATCCTTTGGGTATATACCCAGTAATGGGATTGCTGGTCAAACGCTATTTCTGGTTCTAAATCCTTGAGGAATTGCCACACTGTCTTCCACAATGGTTGAACTAATTTACACTGCCACCAACAGTGTAAAAGTGTTCCTATTTCTCCACATCCTCTCCAGCATCTGTTTCCTGACTTTTTCTTTTCTTTCTTTTTTTTTTCTTTTTTCTTTTTTTTTTGATATGTAGTCTTGCTCTGTTGCCCAGGCTGGAATGCAGTGGCACAATCTCGGCTCACTGAAACCTTTGCCTCCTGGGTTCACGCCATTCTCCTGCCTCAGCCTCAGCCTCCCGAGTAGCTGGGACTACAGGCACCTGCCACCACGCCTGGCTAATTTTTTGTATTTTTAGAAGAGATGAGGTTTCACCATGTTAGCCAGGATAGTCTCGATCTCCTGACCTCGTGATCTGCCTGCCTTGGCCTCCCGAAGTGCTGGGATTACAGGCATGAGCCACCCCGCCCAGCCTTTCCTGACTTTTTAATGATCACCATTCTAACAGGCGTGACAGTATCTCATTGTGGTTTTGATTGGCATTTTTCTAATGACCAGTGATGATGAGCTTTTTTTCTTGTGTTTGTTGGCTGCATGTATGTCTTCTTTCGAGAAGCGTCTGTTTACATCCTTCACCCACTTTTTTATGGGGTTGTTTTTTTTTTCTTTGTTTCCTTTTTTTTTTTTTTGTAAATTTGGTTAAGTTCCTTGTAGATTCTGGACATTAGCCCTTTGTCAGAAGGATAGATTGCAAAAATTTTCTCCCATTGTATAGGTTGCCTGTTCACTCTGATGGTAGTTTCTTTTGCTGTGCAGAAGCTGTTTACTTTAGTTAGATCCCATTTGTCAATTTTGACTTTTGTTGCCATTGTTTTTGGTGTTTTAGTCATGAAGTCTTTGCCCATGCCTGTCCTGAATGGTATTGCCTAGATTTTCTTCTAGGGTTTTTATGGTTTTAAGTCTTACATGTAAGTCTTTAATCCATCTTGAGTTAATTTTTGTATCAGGTGTAAGGAAGGGGTCCAGTTTCAGTTTTCTGCATATGGGTAGCCAGTTTTCCCAACACCATTTATTAAACAGGGAATTCTTTCACCATTGCTTGTTTTTGTCAGGTTTGTCAAAGATCAAATGGTTATAGATGTGTGGCATTATTTCCGAGGCCTCTGTTCTGTTTCACTGTTCTGTATATCTGTTTTGGTACCAGTACCATGCTGTTTTGTTTACTGTAGCCCTGTAGTATAGTATAGTGATGCCTCTAGCTTTGTTCTTTTTGCTTAGGATTGTCTTGGCTATACGGGCTCTTTTTGGTTCCATATGAAATTTAAAGTAGATTTTTCTAATTCTGTGAAGAATGTCAGTGGTAGTTTGATGGGAACAGCATTGAATCTATGAATTACTTTGGGCAGTATGGTCATTTTCCTGATATTTATTCTTTCCATCCACGAGCATAGGATGTTTTTCCATTTGTTTGTGTCCTCTCTTATTTACTTGAGCAGTGGTTTACCACTAGCCAGGCTAATGAAGCAGAAAAGCAAGAAGAATCAAATAGACGCAATAAAAAATGACAAAGGGGATATCACCACCAATCCCACAGAAATACAAACTACCATCAGAGAGTACTATAAATACTTCTATGCAAATAAACTAGAAAATCTAGAAAAAAATGGATAAATTCCTGGACACATACACCCTCCCAAGACTAAACCAGGAAGAAGTCGAACCCCTGAATAGGCCAATATTAAGTTCTGAAATTGAGGCAATAATTAATAGCCTACCAACCAAAAAAAGCCCAGGACCAGATGAATTCACAGCCAAATTCTACCAGAGGTACAAAGAGTAGCTGGTACCTGGTACCATTCCTTCTGAAACTATTCCAAACAACAGAAAAAGTGGGACTCCTCCCTAACTCACTTTATGAGCCCAGCATCATCCTGATACTAAAGCCTGGCAGAGATACAATGACAAAAAACATTTCAGCCAAATATCCCTGATGAACACCGATGAGAAAATCCTGAATAAAATACTGGCAAACCGAATCCAGCAGCACATCAAAAAGCTTATCCACCACGTTCAAGTCGGCTTCATCCCTGGGATGCAAGGCTGGTTCAACATATGCAAATGAATAAACGTAATCCATCACATAAACAGAACCAATGACAAAAACCACATGATTATCTCAGTAGATGCAGAAAAGGTCTTCATTAAAATTCAACACCCCTTCTTGCTAAATGCTGTCAATAAACTAGTTATTGATGGAACGTATCTCAAAATAATAAGAGCCATTTATGGCAAACCCACAGCCAATATCATACTGAATGGGCAAAAGCTGGAAGCATTCTCTTTGAAAACCAGCACAAGACAAGGATGTCCTCCCTCACTACTCGTATTCCACAAAGTATTGGAAGTTCTGGCCAGGGCAATCAGGCAAGAGAAAGAAATAAAGGTATTCAAATGGGAAGATAGGAAGTCAAATTGTCTCTGTTTGCAGATGACATGATCCTATATCTAGAAAACCCCATCGTCTCAGCCCCAAATCTCCTTATCTGATAAGCCACTTCAGCAAAGTCTCAGGATACAACATCAATGTGCAAAAATCACAAGCATTCCTATACATCAATAATAGATAAACAGAGTCAAATCATGAGTGAACTCCCATTCACAATTGCTACAAAGAGAATAAAATACTAGGAATACAATTTATAAGGGATGTGAAGGACCTTTTCTTTCAACGTTTTATGCCCTTATTTTTATTAGTGACTCTTGTAAAAGAGTATAGTAAGATTAACAATACAGTTTGGCATCTTTTTGTAACATGACATTTGTTACAATCACTAATGTATTAGTCTTCATTATCATACTTTGTACTTTCAGTGTGTCTCACTTTTGCCACACTTCTTTCTCTTTTCTTACCTGACTTTAATTTTATATATTGCATTTACATGTTTGTTTACTATTCTCATTTGCCCTCCATCTACTGGTTTAGAAGGTAAACATTTATTTCAATTCAATTAGAACACTCCAACTCAACTCTTGAAATTGTAATGTACATATTTAATACAGCAAACTAGGAATCAATCAATAGCTTAGCCAATCTACTCACACTCACAAACAATAATACAGAGACCTTAGAACAGTTGGTCTAAGATCAACCCATAGCAACTTGCATTATTATACTTTATATTTTGGCTCTGCCCTCATTTTATTTTATTTTATTTATTATTATTATTTTTTATCTTGAGACAAAGTCTCACTCTTTAGCCCAAGCTGGAATGCAGTGGCACTATCTAGGCTTACTGCAACCTCCGCCTCCCTGATTCCAGCAATTCTCATGCCTCAGCCTCCTGAGTAGCTGGGATTACAGAAATGCATGACCACACCCGACTATTCTTGCATTTTTGGTAGAGATGGGTTTTCACCATGTTGGCCAGGCAAGTTGCCCACCTCTGGCCTCCCAAAGTGCTGGATTGCAGGCATGAGCCACTGCGCTCTGCCGTCATTTTAAACTTCATAAAATAATTGTTGTTCTTTTATAAAGACTTTATTTATAGGTATAGCAAATATTTTCTCCTTTGTTTTTCTCATCATTATTTATTGGATCTCAGATTTTCCGTCTGGAGACAGTTTCCTTCATTCTGCTATGGCTGCATGTACTTTGTAAGTCCTGGTTTGGGATAAATTTTATTCATTGCATCTATCTGTGAAGTCCTTATTGAAACTTTTCTCTTGCTATGTAATTTTGTTAGGTACACCCTTCTGTTTAACATCTATTTTCCTTTAGCACTTAGAAAATATTAATCATCATTCTTCTGACTTCTGTTCTTGCTGCTGCTAAATTGGCTGTTGGTCTATTTGTAATTTATTTGTAATTATCTGCCTTTTCTTTCTGATCGATTTTTAAAATAGTCTTTGTTATGCATCTAGGCATGGTTTTCTTTTATTTATTGTATTGACATCCACTGGGCTTTCTGTCTTTTATCACTCTTATAAAGTATTATGCCATATTTTTCAAATATTGCCTCTTTTTGATGTAATAGTCTCCCTGACACTCAGATTTTGCATATATCAGGTCTTCTCGCTGTGTGTTTCATGGCTTGTAATAACACTTCCATATTTTCTATTATGCCATCTACCTGGTCTTCATTCTGTGTAATTTCTTCAAATATGTGTTCTTGTTTATCAAAGCTTTTTAAACTGCCTTTAAAAAGATATTTTTCACCCATCACATGAGAGATTAAATCTCTTTTAAATCTGCTTAATAATATGCCTGTTGAATTGTTAATTATCACATTTTATGAATCTAAAAGCTCTATTTGAGTTTTTTTTTAATAGCCTCTTTTTCTTTAAACACACATTTAATATTTTCTTTTACGGCCTTAAGCATAGTATGTATTTTATATACAGTATGTTGTCTATAAGACTTATTGCTTCTCAGATAATTTTACTATTTTCAGTCTGAGTTGCTCTCATTTTGGGTTTTACTGTTCGTAGACTCTTAATATGGCATTTTCCCCCTTATTTTGTGTGTGTGTGTGTGTGTGTGTGTGTGTGTGTGTGTGTGTGTGCATGTACTCATTTTCTGAGAATCTTGAAGGAAATATTAGAGGCCTGTGTTTAAAGTGCTTAACTCAAGATAATTTGCTTTCTTTCTCTTCATCATATATGAGCATTAGCAATGCCAGACCACTTTATATTTTCATTTTTCAAATCCCATAGAGGTTGGTCTTGTGACTAGAAATTTTTAATAGATAAAAAAATACTTCTCTTAGCTTAATTGTATTGCTGAAACAAGTTAGTATGCAACCCTCTCTTAGAGCACATATGTTTTCCCCAAAGTTTACCAAGAGATTTTAGTAGTTTGAAGCTTCTGGCTTTATTTCATGTATTTCTGATCTCCTTTCATCTTATTTAAACCCAGGCTTTGTCTGCTGTTCCCTATATTTGAACGTTCAGTTAAAACCCTGGCTCTACCTAATAACAGTTTATCAGATTAAATTCTAAATCCAGGGTTTGCCAATCCCTATGAACCTAAATTTTGGTTTTGAGTTGTGTTCTTTATTGCCAAATTGTTCAGCCATGCTTTATTATTTTTTTAATTTTACAAACATCATCCAGAATTTTTGTGCTCTGAATCAGGAAGAATTTTGCTAAACATCAAATTTGCAATATTATTACACATAAATGTCCTCTATTGAGATTTTACTTCAGCAGTTATTATTTTTTATTTCTAAATTTTCAATTTGATTCCTTTACAGAAGCATTTGCTCTTGTTTCTTAATTCCTTTTTTTATTATTATACTTTAAGTTCTAGGGTACATGTGCACAACGTGCAGCTTTGTTACATATGTATACATGTGCCATGTTGGTGTGCTGCACCCATTAACTCATCATTTACATTAGGTATATCTCCTAATGCTATCCTTCCCCACCACAAACCCACGACAGGCCCCAGTGTGCGATATTCCCCACCCTGTGTCCAAGTGTTCTCATTGTTCAATTCCCACCTATGAGTGAGAACATCAGGTGTTTGGTTTTCTGTCCTTGCAATAGTTTGCTCAGAATGATGGTAACCAGCTTCATCCATGTCCCTACAAAGGACGTGAATTCATCCTTTTTTATGGCTGCATAGTATTCCATGGTATATATGTGCCATATTTTCTTAATCCAGTCTATGATTGATGGACATTTGGGTTAGTTCCAAGTCTTTGCTATTGTGAATAGTGCCGCAATAAACATACGTGTGCATGTGTCTTTATAGCAGCATGATTTATACTCCTTTGGGTATATACCCAGTAATGGGATGGCTGGGTCAAATGATCTTAATTCTTTATACTCGTTTTGAATTTGTATTATATCCTCTATCTCTTTGAAAACAGCAAATATACTCATTTTAAAGGTACTTCTTCATTATTTTATTTTGTGTGTGTGTGTAGTTTCTTCAGAGTGTTGGGATTGGTGAAATTAAAAAAAACTCAAAATTGTAAGATAGTAAAAATGTACCTTGTTTGGCAATCTCCATCAGAGTTGGCTGACCTTGAAATATGCAAACAGTTTGGGACAGTTAAAAAAATAAAAGATATGCAAAACGTAATCCTGAAATTTCCTTAATTATATCAAAAGAAAAAAAAGAAAAAAGATTTCAAAGAAAAACTAACATATCCCATAGTAATTATGTTATAGAGAAATGCAAATTGAGCTCCTAGGACTCTGTCACCTACTCTAAGCTTGCCTACAATGCATTCATACAGTCTACACATCCTACAATCCATCCATATCTCTTCCCATTATTAGAGGGCTGTATGAGCTATTACAGGGTATTCTGTGGGCAGAACCATCCCAGAGTGGTACTGTGCCTTACTTTTGTACTTGATGAGCTCTCAGTGGGTTAGTACTAGCGAAGAAAAACCAGATTCTGAAAGTAGCAAGGCAGAAGTGATCTGGTAGCTTCTGCTAAGGAGAAGCTACTCAGGTTAATGATGTCTGTAGAGTGCTAGAGACGTCAAAATATCCATAATCAAACTAAAGTGGGTGACACTGTGACTTCTCCTCTTTGGTGGTCTCTTTCTGGTCAATGTATCCTTTGGCAATATTTTAGAGAATTTACTGCTGCAAACATTTTTTTTTAATAGATATTGTGTGTGGCCAAGTGCATTATTTCACCCTTCTGTGCCCACCTTTTATACACTTCCTCAAATTCACTAGGAAAGGGAATGGTGTCTGACTATCTATTAGCTAGTTGTACTTTAACTTACTTGCTTTTAGGATAAAAAATTTAGGATGTTCAATGCATCTGTCTGCCACATTTGTTCTGGTTTACATCTCAGCATGTTCTGTTTTTTTTCAAACTTGTAGCTATGGAAACATTTATCATTTTTCTTACTTTTCAATGCAATAGTTGAGCATAATGTTTCCTCTTATGCAGTGACATTTAGTGGTATTAGATGGTGGAATGAACTCGAATTCTGAATGAAGGCTCAGACAACTGTTATAGTTCCTGAAAGTACCTGGAACGGCTAATCATCATGATAAATGGTCCACTGTGAGCCGGTGGAAGAAGTACAATGAATTATCACTAGCTGCTTTTGAGTCACAATTGCATTTTGTAATGTTAACAGATACCTGACCAAATGCCGAAATGAAAAAAATTAGAATGAAGAGGCTGTTATGCTGAAATCTTGCTTTATCTTGATTTGATTTACAATGCACACAATGTGCCAAGATAAATTTATTTTGAATCTTCCCCAATTGCAAATCCTTCTATATATTTTCTTTCTCTGAAACAATGTGGCATGAGTATCAATAGCCCACAAAAAGATTTTGAAAAGATTTATGAATAGGCAGGATTTTTTAAAAAAATTTATCCTTCAAGTGTACTATTGATGAATAACTCAGATAGAATATAGTAGTACCTCAGGATACATTTAGTCTTGACAACAATTTTTGAAGTGGAAATGTTATTTTCAATGTATAGATGAGGAATCTTTTGTTCAGAAAGGCTTAAATAATTCACATAAAAGCAGTAAAATATGTGTTTTTGGATACAATATAAGTATTCAGTATATATCATATATTAATCTCTATTCTTTCCAATCAGCTCCTCAGGTGGGAGTTTCTATTTAGTTCTATCATGTGTTTTCAGAAAGAATAGTTGAATTATGTAGCTGTCATTTGGGAGACTGTTCTTGCAGAAAACATAACTAGATCCTCCTTGGGGCCTCCTTATATTCTCTTTCATTTTTTTGGCCTTGTGGACAGGTTTCTAGTCTCAGACTTATTATTTTATGACCAAATCTAGTTGGGTACAAGTAAGAGAAAAAACGAAGTGAAAAAAATGTTAATCCTTTTAAAAATCCAGGAAAGCACATGGATATGAGGAGACCCTTTCAAGACCTCATTTAAAATTGCTTTTAGTTGTTTTCAAAACTTGCTGAATATCAGAATCACTTATATGTGAAATGCTGTCATCCAAACCCCCACCGTCTGCTGGAGGAGTGAGAGGAAAGCCCAGTGGGTGGAAGCAGTCCAGGGCCTGAGTTAGACAGCCCAGGATATATTCCAACTCTACACTAATTAGCTCTTAAAGCTTAAATTTCCTCATCTGGATAAAGGGGTTAATAGAATTGTATGATCCCTGTGTGAAGTTTAAATGGAACAATATCTGAAAGATCTTAGAACTGTGCCAGGCACACAGAAAGTTCTAAATAAAACTTAATTCTTGATATTCTGTACCTTTTTAAAAATCACAAGGCCAAGAATATGAGAGCCATCGTTCTCTCATATGTGTAGTTCAAATTTGGCTTTTAGCTTAGCTAGTTGCTGCAGTAAGGCAGGGTTGCTTTCAACAGAACTGTCAATCTAGTAAAGCAGGAGAGACAACTACACACACACACACACACACACACACTCACAATGTCACATGCAGACACTCATGCACATGTGCATGCACATATACCCCCAGAAAGAAAATGGTAAGTTTAATACCAAAATTGTCAGGAATTTTATAAGTAATATACTCCATACTACACTTAAAGGACACAGATTGGTAGACAGGATAAGAGCCTTAGAAGGATGCAACCATGTGGTTTAGGGGCAGATAAAAGATCCTGAATAAATAGCTCTGTTCCTCTCTATATAATACCATTGTTCCCATAATAGTAGTTAATAAGTCAATAAGCAAAAATACATCTACATATCTATATTCTGAATTATCTGGTAAATATGGTGAAGTACTTGTTAATTGACTTTGGATATTTTATATCTAAACCATTTTATTTTTAATATTTGTATTTTCAGAGATATTTATAAAACTGAGGTATCTAGGCTGATATGCATTGAATGGGCTAGGTGTCCAACAATCTCATGATGGCACTGTAGGATAAAAGCACTTACATTTATATGGGACCCTCACTTAATAGATATTTATATTTTATCCTAGGACTGAGTATAATTAGGTCAAGCATCAGACATTTACAGTTTTCAAAATCTTCAAACACCACATCTTTTTTTGTTGTTTCTTTTTTATCACCTAATTAAATTCATGCATTTAAGTAATCAAGGCTCTGAATGTCTAACCTCAATGTTCACAGGTAGAGGTCTATAAAGCAGTTGTTGCTGAGTATGTCAAAAACAGATATAGTCTGATGTATTTAAAAATACCTCTGTGCACACATTATGTACCTGTGAACAAAAATCTGTGGGTAGCAGTTGTTTCAACTCCTACATCTTTGTAATCTTGAATCATACTTTTCACTTTTAAACACTTGACTCTAGTGAGACACTGCTTGCCATTTCTTTGAAGGTGAAATATCAGGATAAGAAAAAATATATATATTTAAAGTCACATGGAAGTGCAAATATTTTCTGTGTGAGGCAATAATGCAAATTAACTTGTCAAGTTTTGCATCAAATAGTCTTTTAAGTGTTGTTTTGTAGGGTGGCTACAAATGTCTAAAGACTCAAATGTCTCTCTGGCCTAACATTTTCCAACTTTAGTGTGTGTGAGAATTACAGTAAGTCAGTGTTCATGATGAAGGTTCTGTAGCTTCCTCTTTAAACTTTGATTTGGTAGACTTCCTCTGGAATAAGGAAATTAGTATGTTTACCAGTTGTCTCAAGTGATTCTGATGCATGGAGCTGTTGACTGATACCTACCCTCTGAGAAGCTCTGAGTTAGCCCTGTCAGAATGTGTTGTGCCATTATTAGAAGGCCATTTACTCATTTTAATCTCAGAATTGAAGAACTGAAGCACCCAGGTTACTCTCTCGTATCATCAGGTTAGTTTAGGCAAAATTCCCATTCTTTCTGAAGAAAAGATGAGCAGAAGCAATACAAACCTAAGAAAGACAAAAACCTAAATTCAATCTTTAAAAACGCCTTTCTGCATCTGCAAAGCACACAAATAGGAAATCTGTAGGGAATTGGCATTGGAAGTAAAGTTCTACAAGCAATAATGATCCTTCAGTGAAATAACTTTTAGTTAGTTTTTGCTTTACTGATTCTGAGAGTCTAATTTTAGATTATTTAAGTAGCTATATCAATGGTTCTCAAACTTTAGCATCTAGAATCATTTAGAATTGTTAAAAAACACAAATTGCTGGGATGCAAAGTTTCTGATCAATAGATTTGAGATGGTGGTCAAAATTTGAACTTCTGAAAATTTCCTAATGATGCTATTGGTGCTGATCAGGGACCATGATAAGAGCCATTTAGTTATACTAAGCAGAAGCCATTGTTTTGGGCATTTATCTATTTTTGGACTATATTTTTTAGAGCTATTTTTTTTCCCAGAAATCTCAAGACAACTTCAGCCATGTCTTATTTTTCTCTCAAATTAAAACTATTGAACACATACAGACTGAAAATGACACTAGGATATAACCTATAATAAGTGAAGCAATTTGGTTTAAGTATAAAAGCTTTTTGCAGCTTTTGGAAGTTAAGAAGTTGTATTCTGAAATTCAATGAAACAAAAAATTAGAAGACTGTAACTTCACGGTACTATAACACTTATAACTCACTGGCAAGCTTGCTGAAGTTTCAGGGGTTGCAAGGAAGGGGCAAGACAGCAGTGGTGAGGTCGAGGAAGAAGCTGGAAGGAACTAACCTGACTGTGGACCTCTTAAAGAGAACCAGATATTGCAAAACTCACTGGGGGTAATATTTTGACACATGAGGAGATGATTTTTTGGTTATCAAGATTTCTTATTATTCCATGACTCTTCACACCTCAGCCCTCAGTGAGGGCATTGTGGTTTACTGGCTCTAAGAAGGAATGATGCAGCAAGAAAAAAGCATTCAGTGTGTGGCAGGTATAACAGAATTGGAAGGATAATCAGAGCTAGCTTGTTTTGTTTTGTTTAGCAGTCATTCGGTTCTCAGAACACGTGTAGCAAAAGAAATGTTGGTGTGGTTTTCAGGATGAATACAGCAGAGATGGTGCTACAAAAAAGTCTCATGAATTTCAGAGTGGAAAGTGTGTAGTGGAAGGTTTTCTTCTGCAGACTTAGCTTGGGGTCTAGTATGGCACAGAGAATATGCAGGCCTGAAATGTCCTTACAGATAGGATGAACAGGGAAGAGCTGCCATTTATATAGACTGATGGTTGGAGACCAGATGACAAGGAAAAGACCTTACTGGATGCCAATGAGTGCAAATGACCACTGGACCCAGGACTAAATGCATTCAACACCAACACATGGCTTTCCTGAGGCACTCGCAAAGGCCCTTAAAACAAATATATAATTAAAGGAGGGGCAAGAAGGCAGTGAGTTTCTAAATTGACTGAGATTTGCTTCTTGTCAACAATTTTACAAGGAGCTCAAAAAATACAAATAAACTCAGATGTAGAAAAAGAAAAGAAATTGCACTTCTTGCACACTTGACTTTGTGACCTGACATTTGTATCTGCTCTGTGAAGGGAGGAAAACAATTCTCTCTAGCATGTATGAAATTTCTGGTAGTAACCAAATTTGCATATCAGAAAGGGTTGTATTCAGTGGTGCTATTTCTATTCGTACCTGGGAAGAGTTTAAGAGTCAGCTTAAAATAGGAAGATGTAGCTTTAGGGGTGAAGGGATGACAAAACTAGGAACTGTGACCACCTGCATCAACATGACATAGCTATTAGGACTAAGAATGAGGCCATTCTGTAAACCAATAAACAATTTTACTTTTGTTTCAGTTAATTCCTGAAAATAAATTTATTTGAGAAAACCATCTAGTTACCAGGACAACAGCTCACCTACCAAACAGGAGTTCACATTACATGACTTTATTCGAGACTCTTGCCTCACTATTTGCATTAATCTATAACGTCACTATTTGTTCTCAATTCCAGTGTTTCCTAAATTGAAAGAGTCTCATTAAATCTCTTGATCTCAGATTCTAAAACCTCACATATTCTCCACTGACTACCCTCTCCTGAGACATTGCCAAGATTCTGCCAAGGTGGTATTATTGCTAATTGCAGTGTGTTCTGATAAAACTAGCTTTGCTTTATTAACAGGTTTTATAGCCATTTACTTAATAAGCCCTTACTGAATAGTTACTATATACTAGGCAGTTTGCTAAATATTAGAGATTCAGAAATGAAAAGAAAAGGCAAAAAAAAAAGACTCAGTTTCTGAATTCAGTGTCTATAGAGAGAAACAAAAAATACATAGAACAAGTAAATAGAATTTAATACTAAAGATTGACTAGATATGAGTTAATCACAGAGTGGTTTGGGGACACATGCAGAGACTTCTTACTCCCATCGAAGTTTAGAGAATTAAGGAGACTTAATTTAGATTAAGTTAACCAGGCTAAAAGAAAGGCACACAGAAAAAGCAGAGAAGGGAGAAATATGTGTGGAAGAGCATGATGCATTTGAGGACTCCTAAGTCGATCAGATGGACTGGAGATCTGGAGGAAGTTAAGTGGCAAGAGGAGAAGCAAGAGAAATAGGATGGGCAGGGGTGGGTGGCGTGGCGTGGGGATCCTGAAGAAACCTGAAAGCCACACTGAAGAGTGAGAATTTAATTTACAAAGAGAAAGAGAAAGTGATGAATTTCAAGCAGGGGAGACTTGTCCTTAATTAGCACTGTAGGAATGTAATTCTGTGGTAGCAGTAGGAGAATGGATAGGACGCTGATGAGTTTGAGGCAGGTAATGCCGAGTTACACTTGTTCTCTTTGAGAAAGAATGCAGGTGTTAGCTGAGCTAGTATAACAGAGATGAAGGAAAGGGGAGTGGGAAATTTTAAGGACAGAAAACCAGCAAGAATCAGTGACTGAATGTAAAGGCTTTGTTAGTGTGTGGGGGCAGATCAAGGGACAATAAACTTGTGAGGTCTGATTTTACTTATAAACATTTAAACTTCTAGTGAAAATTTAGAGCAAAAAGCCCAAACCAAGGAGGAAGAAAAATATCAGATTATGGTGGCTGAGCAGCTGTGCTGCAGTGATTATGAGGCCCACACGCTACAATTGTTTCATAAGGCCTGGAAAATTCCCTGCCTGGTGAGGTGTAGACAGCTCGGAAAGTGTCTCTTGAGTGCATGTTGTCAACTGAATAGTTGTTATCCTTATTCAGCATTTGTTTTCCTAAATCAATCTCAGCTTGTTTAACCGAGGCATTAAAAATAAATACAGACACATATACACATAATCCAAAATAATTTGTATCCTAAAAACTGGAGATATATACATTGCAAAAGAAAACTCTGTATCTTGTGTTTTAGCTGGGTAGACCAAGAGGAAAATAATTACTCAGAACAAATTACTGGGTGTTTTCTTTAGAAGACACAAAATAAAATAACCTCCTTAACACCACCCAAATAGCTAGTCTTTTTGTAAAGTTAAACTACAGAAAAAGATTTTTTAGCTGCATTTTTATAGTGTGATTGCCGTATTTACAATTTTCTCTCTCCCATGAAATTGAGCATATGCTCTGTTATGTTCCATGCCTCCCAGATGAACAAGGAGTATGACTGGTAGTAAATGTAAGTGGAGATTTGTTCTTAAGTTTTTATAGAAATAGAAATAAGAAAAAAAATGTTAACCTCTGAAACTGAAGGCTGTTTGGTAGTTATTCTTGAACAAATAATATCAAAGAGTTCGTGGAAGCTTCCAAATTGCATTATTTTGAATTATGAAAATGCAGCCCTTTGGAGCTGCATTTGGAAACCAAGGCACATCAAAAATTTAATATATGTTATATATCCAGTTCCAACATTTGGAAGCCCTAATAAAGTAGGATTTATACATCTAAAACTTGTCTTTGTAGTAAATCCTGGCATTTGTGACAATAAGAATAAACTTGGAAGACATACTAAACGAAATAAACCAAACACAGAAAGACAAATACTGCATGATGTCATTTTTATGTGGAATCTAAAATAGTCCAACTCAGAAACAGTAGAATCGTGGTTACCAGGGGCTGAGGCTTAAGGGAAAGGGAAGAGGTTGGTCAAACAGTATAAACTATCAGTTATGCCAAATGAATAAATTCTGGCGATCGAATGTACAGCATGATACATTTACATTATTAACCATAGTTAATATATAGCTTAAATTTGCTGAAAATATATCTTAAATACTCTCACCACACAAACATACACACACACAGACACACACACACACACAATAACTATCTGGGGATAAATGTGCTAATTAGCTTGATTGCAGTAATTATTTCAAATGTACATGCATATCAAATTACCACATTGTATACCTTAAATAGATATAATTTTAATTTGTCAACCATACCTCAGTAAAGCTGGAAAAATACTCTCTTTATTCTTTTCTTTTTTTTTTTTTTTTTTTTTTTTTGAGAAGGAGTCTCACTCTATCACCCAGGCGGGAGTGCAGTGGCACAATCTCTGGCTCACTGCAAGCTCCACCTCCCAGGTTCATGCCATTCTCCTGCCTCAGTAGCTGGGACTACAGGCGCCCGCCACCACGCCCAGCTAATTTTTTGTATTTTTAGTAGAGATGGGAGTTTCACCAAGTTAGCCAGGATGGTCTCGATCTCCTGACCTCGTGATCCACCTGCCTCGGCCTCCCAAAGTGCTGGGATTACAGGTGTGAGCCACTGCGCCCAGCCAAAACTCTCTATATTCTATATGAATGTATCTATCATATTGGTGTTCAAAGGAACTTTAGATCAGTATGAATTTTGCAAACTTAAAGAGACAGTTAAAGTGTATAGGATCTTCTCTTGCAAGTAAGACATGATTTATTGTTATTTAATCCAAATGTATGAAATTAGATATGGAATAGTGGATTTCTTGTAATCTTTATATATTATCTAATATTGTTATGTATGCTTATATACTCTTATTTCCTTTAAAAAGAGTAATGAGGTAAATGCATCAAACTGGAACAATTTTGTCAAAAAAATATATTTATATATTACATGGGTAATGTTTATTAATACAATTACAAATATCAAATATCATGGTCTGAATGAATTACATACACAAATATGAGTTATTCTCTTATAATTATTGATATTTTTAAAATTTTCTAATACTCTTGGAACTTTACTATCACTTAATATTATTTAAAATGAATATGGGGTTGTTGAAACATTAATGTTAGAAGACTTAAGCCTACTTCCTATGCCATGGTGAAAGATCATCCACATGTGGCATAACCATGAGATGGATACTATAACAGCAGCCTCCACAATGTTATTGCCTGCTATTTCTTCCTTCAAAATAGCATTAGCCTTTAGTATCCATATGTTTCTGCTAGGTTAGACATGGAACTGGGGGAGGAGTACCATGGTCTAAGTTCTAGTCTCATCCATACTACACCTCATGATCCTGAATATCTTGGGCAAATCTTTTGTCTTCTTTAAATTTCATGGTTTGTGGCCATGAAAAGGTAACATTGCTTAGATAATATTTAGCTCCTTTTTAGCTCTAACCATCAAAGTTTCCATGATCCCAGGCCTCTCTTCATGGTCTTCTATTCTGGTTCACTTGAGTTATCTACTTACAACATTTTTATTGCTACTTAGCTGCAATTTTTAAAAACAAAAACAAATAAGCACTAGCTTCTATAATTAAGATTTCTCAACAGTTTCTATAATGCATTTGATACATTTGAAAGGTTGTGGAAAACTGAAGCTTCTGTCATTACACACACATCGAAGGAAAACCCTGTGAAATAATGAGGACCCATGGAAACAATGGGCTAGTGTGAGCACACATGTGTGAGTTCTGGGTGCTAAGAGAGCCGTATGGCTAGCAGGCTCTATGGAGTCATAATATTGACATCTTGCTGCTTTATGGCCTTCTTTTCAATTTCCAGCCCCTGTCCTCTGAACAGCATGATGTGCAACAGAAGCTCGAAGCACACAGGTGACATCGGCATTGCGTCCATGCTGCACATGCATGCAGAAAGCCAGTAAAGGGGCCATCCTGCCATATATTAACGGCCTACACTCTAGCTTAAGTAGGCCAGAGGAATATGGTGCAGAATGGGCTATGAGAAAATTTAGAATAGTAGGCTCCTTTCTTGCCTCTACCCGGTGGGTGAAATTCAGAGAATTAACTTAGTGAGTTACAACAATCCCTCTTGTTTTCCTGCTTGCTGCCTTTTCTACCCTACCCCTGGCTGTCACTGAAATAGCCATTGAACTTGGTGTTCTTCTCAGGTGTGAAAATTGCTCTACAAAAGGATGCCTTGCTCTGACAAACTGCTTAGAGTTTCACACACACCCAAACGCTTCTTCTCATCTATTGCTATAAATAGGAAGATGGCAGTTTTATGTCAAATACATTGTGAATTTATTTACAAATTTTGTATTTCAAATCATACAAAAGCAACACAGAGATTTCCTGTATGTTCACCTACTGCAAGAGAATGATTAGTTGAAAATCTGGAAAGTCATACAATGAATTAAAAAAATCTTGTGTGTGTATATGTGTAATGCAAAAATGAATCAACTTGGGTCCTTTCCACCCTGCACCACTCAACTGCTTGTTTGAACAATTCATGTTCTTGATTCTTTATTGTCCCTTTTCTGAGACAGACATATAAGCCAGAAAATTGGAAAAAGGGGAAGTTCATCAATATTAATATAAACCTCATTTTATGTATTTATTATTTTTTGTTCAGTCTTATGGAGGTTCTATATGAAATTCATTTTAAACTTGATTATAAACTAAAATGTTGCTGAGGAACTGTTTTCCACAGTGTTTTATAAAGTATAAAAACGCATTCACCATTTTTAATATAGTATTCCTTCCTTTAATTAAAAATGTCACTTCTTAGCCTGGGTAACATAGTAAGACTACTTCTCTATCAAAAAAAAAAAAAAAAATCACCCAGTTGTGGTGACCTGTGCTTCTAGTCCCAGGGGACTGAGATAACTTATGCCCACGAGGTTGAGGCTGCAGTGAGCTGTGATGGTGCCACTGCACTCCAGCCTGGATGACAGAGTGAGACCATGTCTCAAATTTTTTTTTTAATGTCACTTCTTTCTATGTACACATTGTTCTTCATCTACATGCCTACATGAATCTTCAGTCAGTCATTCGAAAATCTGCTAAATCAGGGCAATTCTTTTCCAATTATACATTGCAGGAATTCTAGCATCCTCAGCTTTTGCCCCTATATGGCAGTAATGTAACAACCCAAAATGCTTCTACGAATTTCCAAAACATACTTCAATGGGTGTTATTTTCTGCCTTGAGAACTATTGATTTAAAGCCCAGGTATGAGGGTGTAATTTTCCTAAAGAACAGTGGAGATGTACCTTGTGGACTTAGAGAGGGAAATATTCTCAGAGACAAGAGTGGGTCCAGGGTCAGGAAAGTGGAGTCAAGATCTGTTTTAAGCATTCATGGAGGGTCTTTTTGAAGAGTTTGCTATTTTTGCCTGTGTTTTTCTATTACATTTTAAGGGCTGAGATGGGAATAGGCAGCAGTCTTAGGGAATATTAAGCTTATCCTTTTGTATGAGTAACTTATCAACTCGAACTTTGAACAAACTAGTCGCAGCCTCCTGATTGTCATTCTCTCCCTTTTCATTAAAGGATATGTATACATAGACTTACATAGTGGCCTGTAGAAAAGACAGGGAAAAATAAAATTACCTTGCTTACATCTGGAACCTGAGGCCCCAGAGGGAGGGTGGCTTCATCCTGTTAAGGACTAACATCTATTTAGTGATCAGCATGAAATGAGAGGCAGTTCATGGGAGGTAGAAACAGTAGGGAGGGGCATGTGATCAGAAAATGAGCTCTCAAATCAATGGCCCTAGGCAGATATGAGACAAATGTCTTTATCCCAAAGATTCTAGCTATTGCTCTGTCCAATGTGGTACCCACTAACTACACAGGCACTTAAAATGTGCCTAGTTCAAATGGAGGTGTTTTGTAAGTGTAAAGAATGCACAGAATTTCAGAGACTTTGTATGAAAATAAGACATGAATTATCTCATTAATAATTGCTGTATTAATCTCTTTTTAAAGTGGAAATATTTTAATATATTGGGTTAAATAAAATGTTATTAATTTTACCTATTTATATGTGTTTTTAATTGTGACTATGGAAATATTTTAAATTACCTATGTGTGGCTGAGTGTGGTAGTTTACTTCTTTAATCCCAGCACTTTGGGAGGCTGAGGTGGGAAGATCACTTGAACCCAGGAGTTCCAGACCAGCTGAGCAGGGAAAGATAGTGAGACCCGACCTTTACTAAAAATTAAAAAATTACCTGGGCATGGTGGTTCATCCCTCTAGTCCCAGCTACTCTGGAGGCTGAGGCAGGAGGATAGCTTTAGCCCTGGGAGTTCGAAGTTGCAGTAAGCCATGATGACACCACTGCACTCCAGCCTGGGCAATAGAGCAAGACCCTGTCTCAAAAAAAAAGTACTTATGTGGCTGTTATAGTTGGCTGACAGTTAACAACGCTCATCGCAATAAAGGAACTTTAGAAAGGAAAGAGGTGAGGCTGATGCTGTGTTATAAGTAATTTAACAACTATTAATTGAGCTTCTCTGTATCAGACACTGAGCTGGATGTTGGAAAAACAGTGCTGAATAAAACAGACATAGGTCCTATAATGGTAGTGTCAACAGTACCCTCAGGGGGACAGAAGCTAAATAAATAATTACAAAATTATAAATTATGATAAGTATCATTTTGTAAAAGTAAAGGCTGTGAGGAGAGAATATAATAGGCCACTAGAGTCTGTATAATCCCAGCTCTTTGGGAGACAGAGGCAGGAGGATTGCTGAATGCCAGGAGTTCAAGACCAGCCTGAACAACATAGTGAGACCCAATCTATACAGAAAATAAAAATCAGCCAGACATAGTAGTTTGTGCCTGTAGTCCTAGCTACTTGGAAGGCTGAGGTGAAAGTATTGCTTGAGCCCAGGAGTTTGAGGCTGCAGTGAGCTATGACTGTACCACTATACCCCAGCCTAGGTGACAGAATGAGACTCTATCTCTTAAAAAAATAAAAATAAAAAATAAAAGGCTACTAGGCTAGATCAGAATATCGTGGAAGGCCTCTCTGAGAAAATGATATTTCTTGAGGCTTGAGGTGTGACTGGGATTTAACAAGTGCTATGGACTGAATATTTGTGTCCTCTCAAAATCCATAGGTTGAAATCCTAACTTCCGAGGTGATAATGTTAGGAGGTGGGTCTTTGGGGGGTGATTAGGTCATGAGGGTGGAGCCCTCATGAATGAGATTAGCCCAGAGATCCCTTTTGCCATGTCTACCGTGTGAGAACACAGCAGGAAGACAGTAGCCTATGACCAGGAAGCAGGCCCCCACCAGACACCAAATCTGCCAGTGTTTTGATCTTGGACTTCAGCTTCCAGAACTGTGAAAAATAAATTTCTGTTCTTTATAAGCCATTCAGTCTGTGATATTTTTGTAATAGCAGCCCAAATAAACAAATACAGCCAGGGAAAGCATTATAGAAAGAAGAGAACTAGATATAGAAAGAACGCTGTATGCAAAGACTCTGAGGCAAGAAAAAGATGACCAAGGCCAATGTGCCTAGGTGGTGCTAAAGATGTGACAAAGGTGGAGATGTAGAGACAGACATGGGCCAGATCCCTGTTGACCATGTTGACACTTTGGAAGGGATTTAGGCAAGACAGTGAAATGATCTGCTTTATAGTTTTAAAATGTTCCTTGTGGTGTGGTGGTGAATAGTTCAGCCTCAGCAAGTGTAAATGTGGGAAGAGCAATAGAGAGATGACTGTAGTTAGCCCAAGTGACAGACAAGGTGTCTGTTCCTGGCAGAACAGATGGTGCTGTTATTCTGTACCCCAGCACTTGCTACTTGCTTTTGTTAACATAAGCCAAATATTTTTCTTCCTTGGGTGGTGAGTGGTCCCTATTATACTTATTTATTTCCATTTGCTATTATTCTTGGAAAATTACTCCTTTATGGTTCTCTTCGAATTTTGCCAAAGACAGAATGGGACTTTCTGATTCTCCTGGCTTATACTTGATTAAAGCTTCATTGCCTCTTTTTTCAAAAGTGACATTTAAGAAGAAAGATATTATGAATTTCCTGGGTTCACAACACCAGAGAACCTTACTGCTAATACCTTGTGCTAGTCCAGAACAGGCATTTTTTTGTTTGTTTTTTTGCTATTGAAATTGCTTAAAAATATTTTATTTTCTTTCACTAGATGATGTAAACTTGAAATCTGCACAAAACACATAAATTAACTTTAAAATATATTTAGCAGTTTATTAGACGTCTTGGTCCCTATTTTATTGCTATAAAGAAATACCTAAAACTGGGTAGCTTATGAAGAAAAATGGTTTATTTGACTGAAGATTTTGATGTCTGGAAGAACTCAAGATTGGGCATCTGGTGAGGGCCTCAGGCAGCTTCTACTCTTGGCAGCAGGGAAAGGGGAGCCAGAGTGTACAGAGATCACATAGTAAGAAAGAAAGCAAGGGAGGAAGGAAGTGCCAGCCTCTTTTAAACAATCAGCTCTCACGGGAACTAACAGAGTACAAACTCACTCATTGCTGTGAGGATGGCATCAAGCCATTCATAAGGGCTCTATCTCCATGACCAAACACTTCCCATTAGGCCCCACCTCCGACATTTGAAATCAAATTTTAACATGAGGTTTGGGGGGACAAACATCCGACCTATAGCATTAGGCAGTATTTTACATTGTTAAAAAATTTAGAAGTTCTAAAAATACCTTTAGAGAATAATTCTCTTTTTCGGTTCATTTTCTGACCCAGCCACTGAACAGATTAACATCACTATATTACATTTTGTGTATTCTTCCAGAAATTATTATTTAGGTACATTTATCTAAAGGAGAAAGCACGTCCATCCTTTATTTTCTTCACACATGGGGGCATACCATAAAACTGTTCTACACGATGCTTTTGTTTTTATTTTTATTTTTATTGAGGCATAATTTTCATGTGGTAATATAAATAGATCATGAGCCTACAGCTCATTGCATTTTAGAAATTATATATACCAATGTAAACCATAGAATAACTCAATCCATCAGCATATTGCCTTAATCCCACCTCAAATTGCCTCTATCCTGAATTCATCAATTTCTCAAATTCTCATCAGCTCCCTCCTTACCTCTTCTGAGCTGTTATCTTCTCACCTATGTCGGAATGACCTCTGAATATAAGGTCCTAAATAATCTGGCCCTCCCTTACCTCTGTGCAGAATTGGCTACCTATTAAGGTTGGTGCAAAAGTAATGGCAAAAACCATGATTACTTTTGCACCAACCTATTAATTTGTGGAGCTTAGCGCAAAACGAAAATGCAGGGCCCCTTTTCCTGCTTTTCTACCACCGCTCAAACGTACAAAATATAGTTGTTTTTCCCTTCTTTCATAGTCTCTTTCAACTAGTCATGCTGTTTTTAAATTGCTATTTAATCTGGTGCTCCCGTAGCTATCATGAGTGTTCCAAGAGAAGGACTTCGCAGGGACCTGGGGCGTGCCCCATTACTCTGTGCACACATGGGCTGCAGTGCTCACTGGCTCTTGAGATAGCCTTCTCCCCTCCCCACAAGCTGCAGGACCCAGAGGCTATACACTAGCTGGGAACAAGGAAGTCCAGCCAGGTATCTCCCCTTCCCACACACCAGCAACCCCTACCCACAGCAGATGAGCAAATGCTAAGTGTATTGCCAACTCTGTATCAGGATGCCATAGATATCTGGATCTGGGAAGGGTGAGAGATTTCCCCCACCAAGTCACCTATGAAATTCAGTCTTGAGAGGGATGACCACAGCTATATTCCACCTTGAGACATCTTGGATCATGCATGCCTAACCCTGGCCCTTCCTACACCTCTATACAGGCACCCAGCCAGGCCCCCAGTGGGTGGGGGACAGGCAGAGAAGTCAGGGAGGCCCTGGAAGGATCGCACATATCCTAAACCTCAAGCTGCCTCAAATGCTTGTCTCATGAGAGTACACTTACACAAATTCAAAGATTTTGAAAAAAAAATATTATTAATTTAGGGCCGGGTGCTGTGGCTCACACCTGTAATCCCAGCACTTCGGGAGGCCGAGGTGGGGAGATCACGAGATCAGGAGATCAAGACCATCCTGGCTAACACGGTGAAACCCCGTCTCTACTAAAAATACAAAAAATTAGCCAGGCGTTGTGGCGGGCGCCTGTAGTGCCAGCTACTCGGGAGGCTGAGGCAGGAGAATGGCGAGAACCTGGGAGGTGGAGCTTGCAGTGAGCCGAGATCGCGCCACTGCACTCCAGACTGGGCGACAGAGCGAGACTCCGTTTCAAAAATCATATATATATATATAAGATTAATTTTGAAAATATGGCCACAGAATAATCAATTCCAAGCTCAGAGCCCTTCTGGGTACAGGGGCCCATGTGACTATACTAGTTGCACACCCATGAACCTATTATTCTCTCCATCTTTCTGCCTCTTCTGTGCCTACACTGACTTCTTGACTGTTCTTTGTGCATGCCAGGGTGCACCCACTGGAGCCCTTTGGATTTCCTGTTTGTTCTCCCTAGAATGCTTTTCCTGCAGTTAGATATTTGATTTATTTCTTTGCCTTCTTTAAATCTGTACTCAAATGTCACTTTCTCAAGGAGACCTTTCACAAACAACTCATTTACAATTAACACTGCCCTGCATGCTGTATCCCACTTATTCTATTTTCAAAGTGTTTATTACCCTCAAATTTTCTATAGTTGAAGTATCTATTATGTATCTTATTTATCATCTTCATCCCAAGCTCCATGAACGCAGGAACCACTTCCTGTTTTGTATGCTGGTATATACTAAGAGTGCATGATACTGACTGCCATGTGGTAGATGATCAATAAATTATAGCTGATGAGATGAAATTATGAATGAAAGATTTCTATCTCAAAATAAAGTGAATAAAGTGATGTAATCGTCTCAGAAAGGACTGCTCTGTATGTGTATCCGTGTGTAATTGTCACAGAGAAAGAGAGAGAAAGGAGCAGGAGGAGAAAATGGTATTAGTATTTTTAAAATAGTGTGTAGTTTAGAGAGAGAAATTCTATTTGCAGTTAATCAACACCAGTAGGTATTTTTCATTATATCGAAGTGAGCAAGTCTCTGTAAAAATCAATTGATAAATAATAGCTACTTCCCCAAGGTCACATGAGTAGTAAATTATGGCAGAGCCAGGATTCAAGCCCAGGCATATTTGACTCCAAAGGCAGTGTTTAATCTTGTCAAGGGTTATTTGCATTTGAAAAGATGTACTTAATCCACAGTGAATTTCTGGTTGGTGGGCTACATGAGGGAGATAGTTCTGATTGGAAGATGTTCCCCATTGTCTAGTGCCCTTTGTTTTTTTCCCACTATGCTCCCTTCTTCTTTCACACTCCTGCAGTATAGAGGTAGACAGATGCTGAAAAGTTGTAAATCCCTGAGTTACATGCACCCCAATGTATTGCTCCATTTTTTGGGAAGTATATGTCTAAAATCTTCTCATTACTTGCATCAGTGGAAATTTTGAATGATACAAATTATCCAAAGCTGTAGATAATCCAGAAAGCACAGACAAATGCTCAGTTATTCTGGGAAATTCTCTCTTTTTTTTCCATAGCATATAACAACATTGGACATGTAATATATTTATAGTAGTTTTGTGTTTATTCTGTGTCTCCATCCCTCTCCATCTGCAATAAAATATGAGTTTTGTGAAGGCAGAAGTTTATATATGTTTAATTCTGCACTGTATTCCCAGTGATTAGGACAGTGCCTTGGGCAGAGTATGTGTCCAATATACAGAATACCTATTTTTAATTTGAGGCATTTTAGCAGGAGTTCAAAATAATAAAAAAGTCAAGTGCTTATAAAAATTTTCTTACCTTCTTAGTGGATTTGGTCTTGTAACAAATGTTTTGTAATGAGTAACTCATTTTTCTGATGTCTGAAACTTCAGGATAATTTGAATAGTAGTAGCAGATTAATACATATAAATAGACAAAACCACACTTGGAATTAAATAATAATAAAACATTTAAATAAATTGAAGACAGTTGGAAATACATCCTAGTTAATACATAGGCAAATTATATTCTTATTGCCTACACTCTCCCGAGGAGAGCTAACTCATTTTAGTGATTTTCAGCCATGATTTCTACAGAGAAAAATTCAAAACAACGGTTCAGTCCTTGAACTCTCCTTGATTTCAGTTTCCTATCTGTTTCTTCTAGATAATTCTAGATAAACATCAACCATAAAATGTGTAAATCTAAGTCACAAGCTTTTTTAATTCAAATCAATTCTCTCTTTGGAATTTCCTATTTATCTCATCACCATCACTATTTGTTTTGTTTCCTCACCCTGAAACACTCTAGTTGGTTATTTTTTACTCTAACTATTAGAAGAAAATAATAAGATACTTTTTATGCTACTAAGTTAATAAAGAATACTTTAGCTAGGATAAATTTTTTAATAGAATAAAATAAAAGGATTCTGAGAAATGTTATTTAATGGGTTATGCATTGAAGAGTGAGATCTACATATGGGATTTTATAAAGTGAATTCATTAGACCAGAAACAATAGTGCAGCAATGATTTCCTGTTAAATTAAAGGGCAATGGTCTTCCCCATGTGTTCAGGTGATCTTTCCAATCATTGAACACCTGAAGAATAGAAAATTTTCCCAGATTTTATGAGCCCGAGATAAAGATTCTAACATACTTGGAATGGTAACTGTCATTTTTGCCCACTTCCTTAACCTTGTGAGATTTTAGTTAGTCTTTAAAAAATGAGTAAGTTTATTATGTTACAGAGGAATACTAAAGGATTAGACATCTGGAGTCAAAGGCACAGTAAAACAAGTATTTTCTTAGAAAATGTAATGCATATTCTTATAAGTCATCAATTATGCAAGGTATTAAGGGGCTGTGTTTGGGGGCGTGGAAGTTGGCTAAAAAGTTTCCCAGCTTTGAATAAACCCTTCCATCATATAACTAGGTTTTGTTTGAATTTTATAGGAATTCCAGCAAAAATCAATTTTTGAACATCAACCAGAGCACATTTCTCAGCTCTTGCATTCCTTGGAGTCTAGATAAACACATGTACTGGGAAGATTTTAGGCTCAATGATTTCTTAGTTATTTCTTAGTTCAACCATAAAGCCAGTAACTGTGACCATTTAGATTATTGTCGTTCCTTTCAGAGACTGCATTTTCCAATGTGAAAAAATCCCAGCTCTTCTTATCTAGGCTTTTTAGGCACATAAATCAACTATATAGAAGCCACAACTCCATTGCCTCTCGTATGAGGAACTAATTATAAAACAAATTACTCCTAAACTTAGTGGTGTAAAACAAACATTTATTATGATCATGAATTCTGTGTGTCAGAAATTTGGATGAATTACAGCAGGGGTGGGTTTTCTCTGCTCCAGGAGACCTGGAGTTTCACTGGAAGATGCAAAGTCAGAGGATAAAATCATAGGAAGGCACACATGAGAGAGAGAGAGAGTTAGGCAATTGCCATGAGACTTTAAGACTTGGTCTCACTTACATAACATCTCTTTTGCATCATTCTTTTTGTCAAGATAGCCACAAAGTCCTGCACAGGAGAAAGGGAAGGGAACGTACATTCCATCTGTTGATGGCAAGGTTCTGGAGGAATAAGTGGGTCCAGAAATATTTCCTTGAACACTTTAGGAAAATAGAATTGCCACATCCTTTTTGTGGGTCTGTAGGCGAACCTCCTTTTATGTGTGGGATAATATGTGTGAGTTTGTGTGTGAAATGATAGCCTATACTACTAACAATTAGTTACTTCTAGTATCAATTTAAGCACAAAGGCACATAACTCAGGCAATCTCTTTTCTACAAAGCTGTAAACTCTGATGTCAACTAAATTAATTAGTTTTCTCTTTAGGAAATTTATCACAAAATTTTCTATTTTTGCTGTGATACTTGCTTGAGGATGTTGTGAATGGTTGTAGCCAGAAACATATTTATGTGTTTTGAGGATTCTACATTTGCATTCTAGGAAAAATATTTTTCTACACATACATAGTGAAAAACTAACTGGAAAGTAGACAGAGTTGGGTCTCACACTTTGCCATTCACTAACCTTCATGTGCAGCACTCACCAACCATGTTCCATCTTTACTAGAAGAAGAGGAGGTAACAAATATTTTAGTATTAACTGCAGATGACAAAATGTGTCAATCACAGTTCTAGACATTTTTGCAAGAGTTAGTATTTTAAATTTGTTCTTCATCAAAAAATTATGTTCTCTGGGTTTTGGCTCTTCAGAGAAATCAGCTTCTCTTTTTTTCTTTCTCTATCCTTCTTAGCTTTGTTGCTTTTTTCTCCCTTCCTTCTCCTTCTATGTTCTACAGTTCCAGAGCCAATCAGTACAATTTTATGCTCTAAAGATGTAACTTACATCACAATAACAATGATAAGCAATTTTCATAGGAGAAAAGGTAGATTTTCTTTACACATAATTTGAGATAAAAATGAGAACCAATGGCATAAAGACTTCTAGCCAGATGAAC
This sequence comes from Homo sapiens, assembly GCF_000001405.40. Taxonomy (NCBI): domain Eukaryota; kingdom Metazoa; phylum Chordata; class Mammalia; order Primates; family Hominidae; genus Homo; species Homo sapiens. Next base: position 115,273,807 of record NC_000006.12, on the reverse strand, counting down.
TTCCTGTGATAACTTGAAAAATATACTACATGTATTAGTCTGTTCTCATGCTCCTATGTAGAAATACCCAAGACTGGGTACTTTATAAAGGAAAGAAGTTTAATTGACTCACAGTTCTGCAGTGCTAGGGAGGCCTCAGGGAACTTACAGTCATTGTGGAAGGGGAAGCAAACATGTCCTTTTTCACAAGGCGGCAGTAGAGAGAGAAGTGCTGAGCAAAGCAGGGAAAAAGCCCCTTATAAAGTCATCAGATCTCATGAGAACTCACTCACCATCACGAGAACTATAGGGGGGTAATTGTCGCCATGATTCAATTACCTCCCACTGAGTTCCTCACAAGAGACAAGTGGATTATGAGAACTACAATTCAAGATGAGATTTGGGTGAGGACACAGCCAAACCATATCATTTCAAACCCTGGCCCTTCCCAAATCTCATATCCTCACATTTCAAAGCACAATAATGACTTTCCAACAGTCCCCCAAAGCCTTAGCTCATTCTAGCATTAACCCGAAAGTGCAAGTCCAAAGTCCCATCTGAGACAAGGCAAGTCCCTTCTGCATATTAGCCTGTAAAATCAAAAGCAAGTTAGTTACTTCCTACATACAATGGGGGTACAGGAATTGGATAAATACCGCCATTCCAAATGAGAGAAATTGGTCAAAACAAAAGGGCTATAGGCCCCATGAGAGTGCAAAGTTCAATAGGGCATTCATTAAACCCTAAAGTTCCAAAATGACTTCTTTTGACTCCAGGTCTCATATCCAAGTCATGCTGATGCAAGAGGTGGGCTCCCAAGGCCTTGGGCAGCCCTGCTTCTGTGGCTTTGCAGGGTACAGCCCCCACTCCCAGCTGCTTTCACAGGCTGGCAGTGAGTGTCTGCAGCTTTTCTAGATATGTGGTACAAGTTGTCAGTGGATCTACCATTCTGGGGTCTAGAGAATGGTGGCCTTCTTCTTACAGCTTCATTAGGCAGTGCTCCAGTAGGGACTCTGTGTGGGGGCTCCAACCCCACATTTCCCCTCTTCATTGCCCTAATAGAGGGTCTGCAGAGGGATCTGCCCCTGCAGCAAACTTCTGCCTGGACATCCAGGCATTTCCATACATCCTCTGAAATCTAGGCAGAGGTCCCCAAGCCTCAATTCTTGTCTTCTGTGCACCCTCCAGCCCAACACCATGTGGAAGCTGCCAGGGATGAGGCTTGCACCCTCTGAAGCCACAGCCTGAGCTGTACTTTGTCCCCTTTTACCCATTGCTGGAGAGGCTGGGATGCAGGACACCAAGTCAGAGACTGCACACAGCAGGGGGGCCTGGGCCCAGCCCAGTAAACCATTTGTCTCTCCTAGGCCTCAGGGCCTGTGATGGGAGGGACTGCTTCAAAGTTCTCTGACATGCCCTAGGGAAACATTTTCCCCCATTGTCTTTGCAAATTAACATTTGGTTCTTTGTTACTTATGCAAATTTCTGTAGTTAGCCTAATTTTTTCCCCAGAAAGTAAGTTTCTCTTTTCTACTGCATCATCAGGCTGCACATTTTCCAAATTTTTATGCTCTGCCACCTCTTGAATATTTTGCTGCTTAGAAATTCTTCAACCAGATACCTTAAATAATCTCTCTCAAGTTCAAAGATTCACAGATCTCTAGAACAGGAGTAAAAAGCTGTCAGTCTCTTTGCTAAAGTATAACAAGAGTGACGTTTACTCTAGTTCCCAAAAAGAACCTCATCTTCATCTGAGACCAGGTCAGCCTGGACTTCATTGTCCATATCACTATCAGAATATTTTTTAAAGCCATTCAACTAGTCTCTAGGAAGTTCCAGACTTTTTCACATCTTTCTGCCTTCTTCTGAGCCCTCTGAGTCTCTAGGAAGTTCCAAACTTTCCCACATTTTCCTGTCTTCTTCTGAGCCCTCCAAACTATTCCAACCTATGCCTGCTATCCAGTTCCAAAGTCACTTTCACATTTTTGGGTATCTTTACAGCACTGCCCCACTACCCAGTAGCAATTTATCAGTCCCTTCTCATGCTGCTATGAAGAAAGACCCGAGACTGGGCAATTTACAAACGAAAGAGATTCAATTAAGTTATAGTTCTGCAGGGATGGGGAATCCTCAGGAAACTTAGAATTACTGCAGAAGGGGAAGTAAACAGGTCCTTCTTCACTAGGTGGCAGGAGAGAGAGACGTGCAAGGCAAAGGAGGAAAAGCCCCTTATAAAACCGTCAGCTCTCTTGAGAACTCACTCACTATCAGGAGAACAGCATGAGGATAACCGCCCCCATGATCCATTTACCTCTCACTGGGTCCCTCCCAAGACACATGGGGATAATGGAAACTACAATTCAAGATGAAATTTGGGTGAGGACACACCATGTTACTATGCTTGTCCCAGAAAATTGTTTACTCTTAAAATGATTTCAAATCATACCAAGTACTGGGACTTGTTCATACACAGAAAGTCAAGGCACAGAGATCTGATGCAAACTACTTAAAAGCAGGATGGTAGGCAGCTGTATATTGACTGGCTTTTTCTAGCCTATCCCTGGCCAACTGCCCTGGCAACAATTACCTGGACTCAAACAATTCCATGTTCAGCCTTTGCCAACTTGGAGAAGAGTGTTTACATCTGTCCTTGCCTGGCTTCAGGGTTCTGCCCATGGGGAGAACTGTGCTGCTGGGAGATAAATGTTCCTCCCACTAATTATAGGCCTGGCTCTCCTCTGACCACTTCAAGTGTAAATTACCTCATCATAAACAATTCCCATTAAAACAGGATGGAATTCCCTGTCACCACCAATTGCTTCACAGCACTCCAGGCAAACCCCAGAATTGTTTTCAAACAAATATCCTCCAAAGACAAGAAGGGAGACAAAAGAATGACGGAAAAATGCAACAAGCAATCAAAAAAAAAGAAAAAAACCCAAATCCATAGTCTTCTGCCAATATTTTAGAAAGGCACTTTAAAAGCTTTTGGAATATTGCCACATCTTGGTTTACACTGAGAGACTTCACAGGAATTCTTATTGAACAGAATAAAATAAAATGCACCTTACAGGCAAAAATAAATGCCTGTGTCTAAATGAATATGACCTAAGTTTATTGTATATTTAAGAATCACACTTTTTAAAAAGTGTTCTTATTAATAAACAGAAATAGAAATGCTATGAGAACTAATTCAATGAAGTGTTAATTTGCTGATCTTGAAAATATATTCTAATTTGTGTACTGAATCAGTTTACCTTTTCAGAGATTATATTAGAATAGAATAGGATAAAGTGCTTTAGAATGGCTTTTTCAGAATTATGTGATTATATAGCATGCGGTAATTCACAGTGTATCAGTGGACCATCCAATAGAACTTCTGGGCTCTAATACTTGAAATAGTTGGACAGAAAAAAATGGGTAAGTATACGTGTGAAAAAAGGATAAAAACTTGATTAATAATATTGTGTGTTTTATAATAAACAAAAATATCAAATTAATAGAATTAAGAAATGATTATTTTACTAGGGCCAATATTAAATAATATATAGACCAATAGAAATCATACCAAAATATTGGACAGTTAAGGAATGCTGCTTCTCTGGGTAATTTAAAATTATGAGCCCTTGAGTTTTGGGATTGTCAAACACTTTCCAGGTTTTCACAGTTGTGAATTTTTTTTAAAAAAGTTTTTCATAATAAAAACAGTATGTTAAACAGAATTTTCATAAATACTTGTTTAATGAATCTTATAGGCAGATATCACAAAACTAGGTATTTTTATTGAGCACTCATTCAGTATTGAACAAATGTGAGTTCCACACTTAGAAAATGCTACCTGAAGCAGATCGACTAACAGTGAGGTCTCTGGACCAGAAGCATCAGCATCACCTGGGAACTTAGAGATGCAAATTCTTGGGCTTTGTCAAAGACTTACTGAATCAGAAATTTTGGAGATGGTCCCCAACAATCTATGTTTTAACAAATCCCCAGGTGATTCTCTGAGATGGGGTAGAGATTGACAACCACTGCTGTAGAAGCAGGCAGCTGTGGGATCAAGCAAAGAGGAGGTTTTCAGGCAGAGATAGCTTGTATGAGCTCCATAAATGTGAGGGGCAGCATGGATTTAGACACTTCCAGTAGCCAACAACTGTACCTGAAAAACTAATAGGTCTACATTTTAAACGATCTAATATTAATCCTTAAATAATACCATTGTTCTTCTAGATTTGTTATTACATATATTAGAGCCAGTTATATTTTCTGCTGAGTTTGTAACTTATTATATGAAACAAAATTGTGCACTTGGGAACCTAAAGAAGATATATATTAAGTCTGTAAGATTCCAAATTTCATTTTCCATTCTAAAAATAGCTTCTGATAAAATGACAATGACAACTTACTTTCCTGGCAATCATTCCCCTTGGATAAAAGGGATTCAGTGGCACACAAACTTAAAATTTCAAGGCAGTGAATGCTTCAGAGGAAGTCCTCATTTTCCCTTTAGTGAGAAGTAGAAATAGTGCAATGTCATCCATCTGGATAATATCTAAGTTATCATAAATTTAAATTATCTTGACATTTATTTATTAATCTATTTATTCATTCATCCTTTCATTCTATATTCTTTCTCTATATATTTATTGGGTGTTAGGCATTGAGTTAGACTGAGAACACAAAATACAAAAATACGGTCTCAAAAGTAAAATGAGAAAAGTGACTGGTTATAAAATGTAAAGGCACTTTTACCTTAGGGTTTCAGAAGAAATAAACAATAGCTCCTTGAGAAATTATAAAATGGGCATGTTGATTTATATACCACAAGACCATATAAGTCTGGGGGGGAAAAAGGCCTTGCTAAATTTTTAAGTAAAAATATCAAAATATTGTACAACTCTAGAGCACTGATTTATAGTTTGAAAAGTACTTATTGCATCTACTTTTTAGAAAATGTATTCTATTTACATGATTCTCATCTATTTTAAATAGAGCATTTATAATATTTATAACATTTTAAATAAAGACTCACTATATCATTTTAAGTAAACAATTTATTTTGAAATAATAGATTAACAGGCAGTGGTAAGAAATAATACAGAGACTTCCGGAGTAATTTTTGCCTACTTTTCTTCCTATTGGGGAAAGTATAATGTATTATTGGCCTAGGATATTGACATGGATGCAGTCAAATTACAGAACATTTTCATCAACACAAGCCTCCCACATGTTGCCGTTTTGAAGCCTCTCCTGCTTCCCACTCACCTCTTGCTTTTGCCCTGGAAACCACTAAGCTGTTTTCTATTTATTTAATTTTGTTACTCCAAGAATTTTACTTAACTGGAATCATACAGTATGTGGCCTTTTGGAATTGGCTTTTTTCACTCAGCATATTTCCTTGGAGATTGATCCAGGTCATTTCATGTTATCAATATTCACTTTTCATTGCAGAGTATATTTCATGCTATAAATGTCCCAGGATTTTTAGCCATTTTCCTGTAGAAAGATATCTACATTGTTTTTACTTTTGGTGTCTTATATATAAAGCTGCTATAAACATTTGTGTGTGAGTTTTTATGAGAACGTAATTTTTATTTCTCTGGAATAAATGCCCAAATGTGCAATTGCTTTGCTGTATGGTAATTGCATGTTTAGTTTTTTAATTTTAGTTTTTAGTTAGAAACTACCTGTATTGTGACTATAATATTTTACATTTCCATCAGCAGTGTATGTGATCCAGTTTCTCCTCATCCTTGCCAACATTAGTTGTCAATATTTTTCATTTTATCCCTTATGATAGATACATAGTGATAACTCATTGTCGTTTTAATTTGCATTTCCCTAACAATCAATGTTGTTGAATATTTTTACATGTGCTTATTTGCTATCTGTATATCTTCTGTGAAATACCTCTTCAAGTGTTTTGCCTATTTTCAAATTGGATTGTTTGGTTTTGATTGCTGAGTTTTTTTGTTGTTGTTTTTTGTTTTTTGGGTTTTTTTGAGACAGGGTCTCACTCTGTCGGCAAGGCTGGAGTGTAGTGGTGTGATCTCAGCTCACTGCAGCCTCAGCCTCCCAGGCTCAAGCAATTCTCATGCTTCAGCCTTCCAAGTAGGATTATTGAGTTCTGAGAGTTCTTTATATATTCTTGGCTACTCATTTTGAATTAGATATGTGGTTTGCAAATATTTTATTCAACTGTCACTTTTCTTTTTTCAAAGGATTTTTCATAGGACAAAATTTTTACTTTTGATAAATTTAATTTAGCAACTTTACCTTATATGGATGGCACATTTATTACTACATCCTGGAACTCTTTAGCTCTGGATCCTAAAGAATTTCAGCTGTTTTTTTTTGTAGGAGTTTTATAATTTTATGTTTTACATTTATGTCTATGGGTTACTTTGAGTTAAATTTTGTGTAAGATATCACTCCTAAGTCAATGTTCATTTTCTACACATATAGAGAAGTCAATTGCTCAAGTAACATTTGTTAAAAGGGTATCTTTCCTCCATTGAGTTGATTATTAATGTTTGTCAAAAATCACTTGGACATATTTGTTTGATTGTATTTCTGGATTCCCTATTCTGTTCCATTGATCTATGCGTCTATCCCTCCATCAATACCACACAGCCTTAGTTACTTTAGCTATATAATGAATCTTGAATTCAGGTAAACTTATTCCCCTTTCTTTATTCTACTTTATTGAAATTACTCTCACAAATTTCAGTTTCATTTCTAAAATACAGAAAGCATTGGCAGTCATTACTCCCATCCTTAGACCAAGACAAAACAGTAGAAATGAAAAATTCTACTTTTCTTTTCTCGGGCCCATCAAAGAATTGAGGTCACCGGGCAAACCACCACTCCGAAATCTGGAGAGAGGTGAATCTGGAGAGTCACAGCCCAGAACTGCTTACCTGGAGGAGAAGTCACTGGAGCCAAACTGATAGAGGCACTTAAAGGATAATTTTGATTGCTAAAAGCTGAGTGTAATTTAAGAGTGAGAAACACCTGGAAACTTCAGTCTTAAAAAAATCCACATTTTTATAAGATTTACTTTCAGGAACCCCACCAGGATCACAGGTGAAGATCCAAGAAAAATCCCCTGTGCTTCTGGTAGGGAAAGGGAAGAGTAATCGTTGTGCAATATGCCCAGAAGCTTCTTCATTTTCTTGGCCTACTCTCTAGGAGGGAAGACTATCAGAGTCTTGTCCCAGAGTTCTGAGAGAAGGACATTCTTTCCATTTCTGCCCCCATTATTCTTCCTGCCTCACCTAAGGAGGTTGAGTGGAAGAAATTATGCAGAAGAAACAAGAAGGTCTTAGGCCAGAACCACCACAGGTGCACTAAAAAACACTAGAAATTTACAAAACACTCCCCTGCCCCACATCTTGCCACACACCAACAAGTTTCATTATCATAATAGTGAATTACAGATAAAAGACCTTCAAAGCACAGACTCTGTCTGAAGAGAAATACTTAAGGCAGCCCAAAGACAACAGGGGAGACAAAAACAAAGACATTAGAGGAATATGCACCCTCTGACACCTATAGCCAAGGTAAACATTAAGTAAAGCCCAACTCCTAACTAAATCAACACAAATTCTAACAATAGAGGCTTATTCACCTGAGCACCTATTACCCGAAACATGTATGACATTTAACAAGAAACTATAAGGCACACTAGAGGCAAAGAGAAAACACAGACTAAACAGTGAAAAGCAGTCATGAAAAATAGGGTCAGATGAGACACAGATATTAAAATTATCAGACAGACTTTCAAAATATTTAAAATAGGATTAATATATTAAAATCTCTGACAAAAAAGTAGACAAAATATAAGAAAATATGTAAAATATAAGCAAGGAAATGAAAAAATTAAGAAACAATAAAAATACTAAAAAATAAGCAAACAGTATAACAGAAATGAAGTATGCATTGAGTGAGTTCATCAGTAGACTGGAAGCAGCCCAGGAAAGAATAGGTGAGCATGAAGTTAGATCCACAGAAAATATTCCAAACTGAAATTCGGAGAGACAGGAAAAAAAAGCAAAACCAAAGAACCCCTGAGAATATTTTAAAAACCATGGGATAATTTCAAGAGATATAACATATATGTAATTGGAATACAAGATTAAGAAGGAAAAGAGAAAGGAGCATAAGAAATATATAGAGAATTAATGGCTGCAAACTTTCAGAATTAATGACAGAAACCATATTATAGATCCAGGAAGCTCAGAGAACACCAAACAAGATAAATGCTGTAAGAACTATACTGAGGTATATGATACTTAAATAGAAAAAAAAAAAAAAAAACAAACAAAGGCAAAAAGAAAATCTATAAAGAAGGTATAGGTAGGAAAAACATCTTACTTATAGAACAAAGAAAATTACAGTGGGCTTCTTGTGAGAAGCCATGCCAAAAATCAATCAATCAATCAATCAATCAATCAATGAAAAATAAAAAACAGAGAGAAAGAGAAGTAAAATATTTAAATTGTTAAATTTTTTAAAAAAACCCACCAACCTGGAATTCTTCACCCAGTGAATGAAAAATAAACCTTTTCCCCGACAAAGAAAAACAGAGAATTTATTGCAAGCAGTTCTGCCCTGCAAAAAAATGTTAATTTCTTTAAGCAAAAGCAAAATTATATAGATCAGAAACTTAGATTTATGTAAAGAAAGGAAGAGCACTGGAAAAGGAATGAATGAAGGGTGAGTGTGTATGAGTATTTTTAAATTTATCTAAGAGATAATTGTTTATTTAAAGTAATACTGGTAAAAATATATTGGGTGATCATAGCATTCAATAATAAAATGACAACAATGTCTCAAGGGATGGGAAGGAGTAATTGGGAACATTCTGTAATAAGATATGTGCATTATATGTGAAACTAAATAGTATTACTTCAAGGTAGACTAAGATTATTTAAAAATTTATATTGTAAACTTTAGGGCAGCAAATAAAAATGTTTGAAGAAGTATAATTTAAATACCGACAGAAGAGATGCAATGGAATCATATAAAATGCTGAGTTAAAACTAGATAAAGCAGAAAAAGAAGCCTCTGTCAATGTATAGAAAACAACACTACTAAGTGAAAGAATCCAGTGCAAAAAAAGCTACATATCATGTTATTCCAATCATATGACATTCTGGAAAAGGCAAAACTAAAGAGAAGGTAAAAAGATCAGTGGTTAGCAGGGTGTGTAGTAAACAGGGGTAGGTTTGGATAAGTGAAGCACAGAGGATTTTTTTTAATGGTGAAATTATTCTATATCTTACTATAATGGTGACTACAATACGTTAAGCACTTGTGAAGACCCATACAAGTTTACAGCACAAACAGTAAGCCTTAATGTATACAAATTGAAAAAAAATCATTTAGCTGTCTGGGCAATCCCAAGAAAGAATGCAGAATGTAACAACATACTTTAAAAGTCTCATATATGTATGAAACAATGTTTCTGGGGGTGGGGCATGATAAAGTAATAACCTAAGTAACTTTAGAATGAATGAATCTATAACACTAAGTGAACTGTACACACATACTGTACTCTAGTAAAGTTCTTTTCCATGGAGTATAGGTTAACAATTCTGAAAACATTGTACCTATCTATTGGAATGGAACAATGGCAGATGGATGCCAGGTTTCTCACTGCTGAATTATGACCTTACAGATAAGCAGGAGGAGGAGGCTAGAATGGTCCATGTGATAACTGATTAGTATTGGACACATCAGAATGAACTCATGTTTAGCTTAAAACAGAAATGGCTACATGTAGAAATTTTTATTGGTAAGTCTATATACACACAAATATTTTCTTGTTCTGTCAACCAAGAGAATCTGGAATAAAACCACCACTTCAGTAGCAAGAAGCACATGTAGGACATAGATCTTGTGTTCTAACACCATTCTCCAGTAAAATAAAATGCGGTCCTTAGAGAAATAACTGTTTCCAGGACATTATTTAGAATGGGCAATTTGTATTCCAGTTCACTAGTTCTTTCCTTTTGACACCTCCATTCTGCTTTTGAGCTTACTCATTGAGTTTTTTATTTTGGTTATTGCATTTTTCATTCTAAAACATCTACTTGGTTTTCTTTATATATTTTATTTTCTTGCTGAGACTTTCTATTTCTTTAGTATGGGTTTCTATTTTGTTTTTCATTTGTTTGAAGTGTGCTTGCAATTGCCTGTTGAAAATTTTTACTGTGTCAGACAATTCTAACATTTCTGTCTTGTATGTGTTAGCATCTATTGATTGTCTTTTCTCATTCTGTTTGAGATTTTTAGGGTTTTTTAAATATGTATGATTTTTCCATTGAAACTTTTGCATTTTAGGAATTACATCATGAGTCTCTGGAGGTTACACCAATATTTGAGCCAGCTTCCTTCAATGCTGCTGTAGCAGGGGAAGGAAAAGAGGCTACCTCATTACTGCCAAGTAGGAGTGGACATGTAGATTACCCATTCAATTTCTGTTGGCACCTGAAGCGGGTGTGATTGCTTGTTACTCTTGGCAGGTGTGTGATTTTTGGCTCTCCATTACAGCTCCACTGATAGTTTCTTGGATGATAGCAAGAAGAATGGCTCATTACTCCTCCCAGGTGGCTTTCATTGACACCATGGGGGCAAGAGGCAGAGGAGGTAAGCCCGCTTTGTGCTTAGTGGTGATAAAAATACTGACTTTCCACTAGGCCTCCTCTGACATCCCTCCAGGAACATTTTGTTACTTGCAGGGATGTTTGATCTCCACTGACACTGTATATTGGGTGAGACTCCCTTATTATCGTTAGAATTGAACGTCCTGGCTCTCTGCGCTGCTTTTCTGGCACCATCACAGTAGTAGGATAAGGTTGCCTCCTTATATCCTGGTAGCATTAAAGTCTACACTCCCAGCTCAAGTGCCGTGAGTAGGAAAAACACCAAAGTGTTTCTTTGTTGTTTGGTTGGAATAGAGCAGTTATTGACTGAAAGTTGTCTGTTTTGCCTGCCCCTTTCCTGATCCTATGGCTAGAGAGAGAGAGCATAGACTTTTGTTAGAGCTTTTCTTGCTTGTTCCAGTTGATGTTTCTGTGTTGTCAGCTTCTTTAGCTCTAGGTGACGAGAAAAAAAAAAAAAAAAGAGATAGAGAGAGAAAGAGAAAGAGAGAAAGAGGAAATCCCAGGGAACTCACCACTGTGTTGTTACTTGCACTTTAAGTTTCTTGACTAGTCTTCATTCTCTCCACCGTTCAGTCTGTTCTATATATAAGGTCCAGGGATTTTAGTATTTACCTGGGGGAATTGGGAAAAGTGTATCTAATTCTTCTCAGAAGCCAAAGATTTCATTCCATCACCTGTAAAAGTTGTTATTTTTTTAAAAATGTAATGACCCCTACGATTTACATTAAAAAATCAATTAAGCCTGCTTTTGAATTAAAGAGGTGTGCCAAAATTTAATAATAATGTATTTGGCTATGGGTTTATGATTTAAATTCAACTAATTGTTGTCATGATTGAGATTTTTAAATTTATGTGAAATTAACAGAAACCCAGAATACTTATTTATATAAAAGCTTTTTTTGTTGTTTTTTTAAAGTTTTTTTTAAGAACAGATACGTAATTGCTTAGTAAATCTCTACTTATTTAGTTGTAGTAATGATGACATCCTAGAGAAAATAAGTTGAGTTAAATTTCCACTAGAAAGTGACTAAAATCTTGACTAGAAAATGCCACAAATGTTTGAATAAGTAAAATATGTTCTTGGACAATACTGAGTTCCAGATACAAGAGGAAGCATCTGGTGAAGTAAAACTTACAGACTTTAAGAACAAATATCTACCAAGAAAAAAATCTTCACCATGGGGTGGCAAAATTTTCTATGAAGGGTCAGATAATAAATATTTAGGCTTTGTAGTTCTATGGTTTTGTCACAACTGTTCAACTCTGCTGTTACAGCATGAAAGCAACCATAGACAATAAACAATTGTGGATAAATTTTTATGGACATTGAAAGTAGAATTTCATATAATTTTCATATGTAATGAAATGTTCTTTTGACTTTTCTTTTAATTATTTCGTAATGGCAAAACCATTCTAAGCACATAGGCAATATAATAACAAGCAGTATTAGGTTTTGCCTATGGGCTATAGTTTGCTGGTCCTTGGTTTAGAGCTTTGCACGTCCTCCATGCATGGAGGACCAGACCACGGGCAGATATTCTGTGACCAGACCACGGGCAGATAGAATTGTTCGTGGTATTGAAATCAATGATGAATGGAATAATATGGAATAAGTTTTCTACTTGATTGAATTCAGGTACCTATTTTTAACTAATGCCACAAAATTCACTTATTTTTCAGAAATTTATGAAATTTATAAAAGGTTTCTTATAATTAAAAACATAGGAGTTAGCAACATATTCTCAAATCTCTTCAGCTCTTCACTCTGCAAAACCTCTAATTTACTATACAGTGTGACAGAAAAAATCCCTACACGTTTCACAAATTGTGTGTTATGGATATTTGTAAGAAAATCAATTAATACAATCTGTTAAGTAGTTTCTCCTACTTAGAATAATTTTCATTTGCATTTACAAGCTAAACCATTCTTTTAAAAGTGCATTTCCAAAGTAGCTAATAATTTCATAGGTTCAATTTTGTGATTACGAGCTGCCTGGGGAGTGGGAGTTATTAGTCACCTAATAGTCTTGTTCATGGCCAATTATGTTTATTTATCGAAGAGATATGTTAGTTAAAGATTACTCATAAAATTATCCAGAAAGAATGATGGTATTATAAATACATGCAAGTATTTTATTAAGAACTGGAAAAGAAATAATCTAATACTTCTTAAAATTCTCACCAAAAAAAATAAAGATCAGTAATCATTTTCTGAAAATCAGAAACATGGCTGTAACTGGTTGGTTGTACTAAAAAAATTACAAATAAATATAATTTTATCCTAAAATTTTATGCCAATTTTAGTTTATAATATGCCTATGTCTATTTTAATATAAAATAATGCATTTGCTCCTCTAAATCTTAGAATATAAAATAAATTCCAGGAAGCTACATGCCATGTTCACCATTGGCTTTGAATACCTGTTGCCACAGCATAAAGCAATCCAAGGATATGCATAGCATTATATGAGAAGTCCACAGATAATCTTACCACTCTTACAAAATAAATGTATGTTTATATTATTAAAATTTTATCAGGTTATTAATATTTTTAATTTGCTAAAACTTGAAAAAACTCTAATTTCTAGTTTTACATATTTGGTGAAAATTCCAACAATTATTGTCCAGATATTTGCAATTGAATAATTGTTTAACATGTAAGGATGGACTTATACACAGAAAATCAAATGTTCATGTCTACATCACATAATTAGTCAAAGGTCAGTGGGAAAAAAATATATTTAATGTTAACATATTGTTGTAAGTATGATTTAAGTACTTTCAAACAATACTTATTTCCATATGTTTAAATATAGTGTTTGCTTCTTTGATAAAGTTCCCAATTTTATATGCTTAATAATTATTTGTTTTTATAATTTTTAATTTTTGTGAGTACATAGGAGGTGTATGTATTTGTGGAGTACGTAAGACATTTTGATACAGGCATGCAATGCATAATAACCACATCAGAGTAAATGGGGTATCCACTACATTAAGCTTTTATCCTTTTTTTGTATTACAAACAATCCAATTATACTATTTTAGTTGTTTAGTTGTATTTATTGTTGTACAATAAATTATTGTTGACTGCAGTCACCCTATTGTGCTATCAAATACAAGATCTTATTCATTCTATCTAATTATATCTTTGTGCACATTAACCACCGCTGCTCGCCAAACCCCGTACTACCCTTCCCTGCCTCTGGTAACCATGATTCTAACTCTCTGTCTCCATGAGTTCAATTGTTTTAATTTTTATAAATTAGAAGTGTACCAAAGTTCTAATTTATAAAATAAACTCTTATAAATAAGTGAGAACATGCAGTGTTTGTCTTTCTATCTCTAGCTTATTTCACTTAACATAATGATTGCCAGTTCTATCCATGTTTTTGCAAATGACAGAATCCCATTATTTTTATGGCTGAATAGTACTCCCCTGTGTATATGTACCACATTTTCTTCATCTAGTCATCTGTTGATGGACACTAAGCTTGCTTCCAAATCTTCGCTACAGTGAACAGTGCTGCAATAAACATAGGAGAGCAGACTCTTCAGGTTTTTCCAAATATAAGACCATATTATCTGCAAACAAGAATAATTTTACTTTCTCCTTTTCAGTTTGGATGTTCTTTATTTTTTTTCCTTTTTTGTAGCAGTGGGATTGCTATATCATATGGAAGCTCTATTTTTAGTTTTTGGTGGAACCTCCAAACTGTTCTATATAGTGGTTGTACTAATTTACATTCCCACTAAGATTGTACAAAGGTTGACTTTTCTCCACATTCTGCCATCACTTATTATTGCCTGTCTTTTGGATAAAAGCCATTTTAACTGAGATGAGATAATATCTCATTTTAGTTTAATTTGCATATCTCTGATGATTGGTGATGTTGAGCACTTTTTCGTATACTTGTTTGCCATTTGTGGGTCTTCTTTTGAGAAATGTCTATTTAGATTTTTGCTAATTTTTAAGTTGGATTATTATATCTTTTTCCCATAGAGTTGTTTGAGCTGCTTATGTATTCTGATTATTAATCCCTTGTCCGATGGGTAGTTTGCAAATATTTTCTCCCACCTTGTGGGTTGTCTTATCTCTTCACTTTGTTGTTTTCTTTTCTATGTGGAAGCTTTTTAACTTAATGTGATCCAATTTGTCCATTTTTACTTTGGTCGCCTGTGCTTGTGGGGTATTACTCAAGAAATGTTTCCCAGTCTAATGTCATGGAGAGTTTCTCCAATGTTTTCTTACATTAGTTTCATAGTTGGAAGTTTTAAAGCCTTTAATCAATTTTTGTTTGACTTTTGTATACAGCAAGAGATAGGGGTCTAGTTACATTCTTATGCATATGTATATCCACTTTTCTCAGCACCATTTATTTGGAGATACTGTCCTTTCTCCCATGTATGTTCTTGGCACCTTTGTCAAAAATGAGTTCACAGTAGGTGTATGGATTTGTTTCTGGGTTCTCTATTGTGTTCCATTGGTCTATGTGTCTGTTGTTATGCTAGTACCATGATGTTTTGATTATAAGAGCTCTGTAGTACACTTTGAAGTCAGGTAATGTGATTCTTCCAGGTTTGTTCTTTTTGCTCAGGTTAGTTTTGGCTATTCTGGGTCTTTTGTGGTTCCATATAAATTTCAGAATTTTTAAAAATGTCCCTGACAAATGTCATTGGTATTTTGATAGGGGTTTGTATTCGGCCATTCTTGCACTACTATAAAAAACCACCTGGCTGGGCATGGTGGCTTACGCCTGTAATCCCAGC
Source organism: Homo sapiens (assembly GCF_000001405.40). Lineage (NCBI taxonomy): Eukaryota > Metazoa > Chordata > Mammalia > Primates > Hominidae > Homo > Homo sapiens. Next base: position 115,258,394 of record NC_000006.12, on the reverse strand, counting down.
ACTTTGGGAGGCCAAGGCGGGTGGATCATGAGGTCAGGAGTTCGAGACCAGCCTGACCAATGTGGTGAAACCCCGTCTCTACTAAAAATACAAAAATTAGCCGGGCATGATGGCGTGCGCCTGTAATCCCAGCTACTCAGGAGGCTGAGGCAGGAGAATTGCTTGAACGGGGAGGTGGAGGTTGCAGTGAGCCGAGATTGTATCATTGCACTCCAGCCTGGGAGACAGAGCGAGACTCCATCTCAAAAAACAAAACAAAACAAAACAAAACAAAACAAAACACCCACCTAATCCTGGGCAATTTATAACAAAAGAGTTTCAGTTTGTTCTTGGTTCTGCAGGCTGTACAGGAAGCATAGTTACATCTGTTTCTGGGGAGGACTCAGGAAGCTTCCAATCATGGCAGAAGGCAAAGGCAAAGGATAGCAGGTATATCACATGGCGTGAACAGAAGCAAGAGCAAGAGAGAGTTTGGGTACCACAGGCTTTTAAATGACTGTATCTCATGTGAACTCAGAACAAGAGCTCACTTATCACCAAGCAGATGGCCCAAGCCGTTCATGAGGGATTCACCTTCATAATCTAAACATCTTACACCAGGCTCCACCTCCAACACTGGGGATTAAAGTTCAACATGAGATTTTGGTGCCTACATACATTCAAACTATATCAGGGTTGCATTGAATCTATGGATTGCTTTGGGTAGTATGGACAGTTTAACAATATTAATCCAATCTGTGAACATGAAATATATTTCCATATTTTTGGTGTCCTCTTCAATTTCTTACATAAATGTTTTATAGTTTTTATTGTAGAGATCTTTCACTTCTTTGGTTAAGTAAATTCCTAAGTATTTAACTTTATTTGTCGCTATTTTAAATTAAATTACTTATTTGATTTCTTTTTCATATTGTCAACTGTTGATATATAGAAATGCTACTGATTTTCATATGTTGATTTTATATCCTGCAACTTTACTGAACTTATCAGTTTAATAGATTTTTTGTGGAATCTTGTATTTTTCCAAAAATAAGATTATATTATCTACAAACAAGAATAATTTGACTCTCTCCTTTTCCACTTGGATGCCCTTTATTTTTTTTCTCTTGTCTGATTGCTGTAGCTAGGACTTCCAGTACTATGTGGAACAGCAGTGATGAAAATGGGCATTCTTGTTGTGTTCCAGAACATAGAGGAAAGGCTTTCAGTATTTCCCCATTCATTATTATACTAGCTGTGGATCTGTTGTACATGACCTTTTATTGTATTGAGGTATGTTTCTTCTATACCAAATTTTTTAAGGTTTTTTTTTTTTAAATTATAAAGGGATATTGAATTTTATCAAATGTCTCTTCAGCATCACTTGAAACGATCATATAGTTTTTATCCCTCATTTTATCAATATGATGTATCACATTGATTGATTTGCATAGGTTGAGCCATGCTTGTGTTTTTGGGATCAATCTCATTTGGTCATGATGAATGATCTTTTTAATATGTTGTTGAATTCAGTTTGCTAGTATTTTGTTGAAGATTTTTGCATCAATATTCATCAGGCATATTGTCCTGCAGTTTTCTTTATTTTTAATATGTTTTGTCTGGTTTGGGTATCAAGGTAATAACAGCCTTACAGAATGAGTTTGGAAGTATTCTTTTCTCCTCTGTTTTTTTCAGAATAGTTTGAGTAGAATTGGTATAAGTTCTCTTTAAATGTTAGGTAGAATTCAGCAGTGAAGTCATCAGGTCCTGGGCTCTTTTTGCTGGGAAATTTTTTATTATGGATTTGTTCTTGTTATTTGTTTTTGGTCTATTCAGGGTTTGGATTTCTTTATGCTTCAATCTTGGTAGGTTGTATTAATATTTGTCTAGAAATTCATTTATTTCTTCTAAGTTCTCCAGAATATTGCCATGTACTTAATAGTTGCTCACAGTAGCCTGAAATGATCCTTTGAATTTCAGTTGTAATGTCTCCTTTTTCATCTCTTCTTTTATTTATTTGGGTCTTCTCTCTTTTCTTCATAGTTAGTACAGCTAAAAGTCTTTGTTGACTTTGTATATCTTTGCTAAAAAAAACGTATTTTTATTTCATTTATCTTTTGTATTGTTTTCTTCATTTTAATTTTATTTATCTCTGCACTGATCTTTTTTTTAAAATTTTTTTATTATTATCACACTTTAAGTTTTACGGTACATGTGCACAATGTGCAGGTTTGTTACATATGTATACATGTGCCATGTTGGTGTGCTGCACCCATTAACTCATCATTTAACATTAGGTATATCTCCTAATGCTATCCCTCCCCCCTCCTCCCACCCCACAACAGGCCCCAGAGTGTGACGTTCCCCTTACTGTGTCCATGTGTTCTCATTGTTCAATTCCCACCTATGAGTGAGAACATGCGGTGTTTGGTTTTTTGTCCTTGCGATAGTTTGCTGAGAATGATGGTTTCCAGTTTCATCCATGTCCCTACAAAGGACATGAACTCATCATTTTTTATGGCTGGCTAGTATTCCATGGTGTATATGTGCCACATTTTCTTAATCCAGTCTATCATTGTTGGACATTTGGGTTGGTTCCAAGTCTTTGCTATTGTGAATAGTGCCGCAATAAACATACATGTGCATGTGTCTTTATAGCAGCATGATTTATAATCCTTTGGGTATATACCCAGTAATGGGATGGCTGGGTCAAATGGTATTTCTAGTTCTAGATCCCTGAGGAATCGCCACACTGACTTCCACAATGGTTGAACTAGTTTACAGTCCCACCAACAGTGTAAAAGTGTTCCTATTTCTCCACATCCTCTCCAGCACCTGTTGTTTCCTGACTTTTTAATGATTGCCATTCTAATTGGTGTGAGATGGTATTTCATTGTGGTTTTGATTTGCATTTCTCTGATGGCCAATGATGATGAGCATTTTTTCATGTGTTTTTTGGCTGCATAAATATCTTCTTTTGAGAAGTGTCTGTTCATATCCTTTGCCCACTTGTTGATGGGGTTGTTTGTTTTTTTCTTGTAAATTTGTTTGAGTTCATTGTAGATTCTGGATATTAGCCCTTTGTCAGATGAGTAGGTTGCGAAAATTTTCTCCCATTTTGTAGGTTGCCTGTTCACCCTGATGGTAGTTTCTTTTGCTGTGCAGAAGCTCTTTAGTTTAATTAGATCCCATTTGTCAATTTTGTCTTTTGTTGCCATTGCTTTTGGTGTTTTGGACATGAAGTCCTTGCCAATGCCTATGTCCTGAATGGTATTACCTAGGTTTTCTCCTAGGATTTTCATGGTTTTAGGTCTAACATGTAAGTCTTTAATCCATTTTGAATTAATTTTTGTATAAGGTGTAAGGAAGGGATCCAGTTTCAGCTTTCTACATATGGCTAGCCAGTTTTCCCAGCACCATTTATTAAATAGGGAATCCTTTCCCCATTGCTTGTTTTTGTCAGGTTTTCAAAGATCAGATGGTTGTAGATATGTGGCATTATTTCTGAGGGCTCTGTTCTGTTCCATTGATCTATATCTCTGTTTTGGTACCAGTACCATGCTGTTTTGGTTACTGTCGCCTTGTAGTATAGTTTGAAGTCAGGTAGTGTGATGTCTGCAGCTTTGTTCTTTTGGCTTAGGATTGACTTGGCAATGCGGGCTCTTTTTTGGTTCCATATGAACTTTAAAGTAGTTTTTTCCAATTCTGTGAAGAAAGCCATTGGTAGCTTGATGGGCATGGCATTGAATCTATAAATTACTTTGGGCAGTATGGCCATTTTCACGATATTGATTCTTCCTACCCATGAGCATGGAATGTTCTTCCATTTGTTTGTATCCTCTTTTATTTCATTGAGCAGTGGTCTGTAGTTCTCCTTGAAGAGGTCCTTCACATCCCTTATAAGTTGGATTCCCAGGTATTTTATTCTCTTTGAAACAATTGCGAATGGGAGTTCACTCGTGCTTTGGCTCTCTGTTTGTCTGTTATTGGTGTATAAGAATGCTTGTGATTTTTGTACATTGATTTTGTATCCTGAGACTTTGCTAAAGTTGCTTATCAGCTTAAGGAGATTTTGGGCTGAGACAATGGGGTTTTCTAGATATACAATCATGTCATCTGCAAACAGGGACAATTTGACTTCCTCTTTTCCGAATTGAATACCCTTTATTTCCTTCTCCTGCCTAATTGCCCTGGCCAGAACTTCCAACACTATGTTGAATAGGAGTGGTGAGAGAGGGCATCTCTGTCTTGTGCCAGTTTTCAAAGGGAATGCTTCCAGTTTTTGCCCATTCAGTATGATATTCACTGTGTGTTTGTCATAGATAGCTCTTATTATTTTGAGATACATCCCATCAATACCTAATTTATTGAAGGTTTTTAGCATGAAGCATTGTTGAATTTTGTCAAAGGCCTTTTCTGCATCTATTGAGATAATCATGTTGTTTTTGTGTTTGGTTCTGTTTATATGCTGGATTACATTTTTTGATTTGTGAATGTTGAACCAGCCTTGCATCCCGGGGATGAAGCCCACTTGATCATGGTGGATAAGCTTTTTGATGTGCTGCTGGATTCGGTTTGCCAGTATTTTATTGAGGATTTTTGGATCAATGTTCATCAAGGGTATTGGTCTAAAATTCTCTTTTGTTGTTGTGTCTCTGCCCGGCTTTGGTATCAGGATGATGTTGGCCTCATAAAATGAGTTAGGGACGATTCCCTCTTTTTGTATTGATTGGAATAGTTTCAGAAGGAATGGTACCAGCTCCTCCTTGTACCCCTGGTAGAATTCGGCTGTGAATCCATCTGGTCCTGGACTCTTTTTGGTTGGTAAGCTATTGATTATTGCCATAATTTCAGAGCCTGTTATTGGTCTATTCAGAGATTCAACTTCTTCCTGGTTTAGTCTTGGGAGGATGTATGTGTCGAGGAATTTAGCCGTTTCTTCTAGATTTTCTAGTTTATTTGCGTAGAGGTGTTTGTAGTATTCTCTGATGGCAGTTTGTATATCTGTGGGATCGGTGGTGATATCCCCTTTATCATTTTTTATTGTATCTATTTGATTCTTCTCTCTTTTCTTCTTTATTAGTCTTGCTAGCGGTCTATCAATTTTGTTGATGTTTTCAAAAAGCCAGCTCCTGGGTTCATTGATTTTTTGAAGGGTTTTTTTTTTGTCTCTATTTCCTTCAGTTATGCTCTGATTTTAGTTATTTCTTGCCTTCTGCTAGCTTTTGAATGTGTTTGCTCTTGCTTTTCTGGTTCTTTTAATTGTGATGTTAGGGTGTCAATTTTGGATCTTTCCTGCTTTCTCTTGTGGTCATTTAGTGCTATAAATTTCCCTCTACACACTGCTTTGAATGTGTCCCAGAGATTGTGTTCTGTTGTGTCTTTGTTCCCATTGGTTTCAAAGAACATCTTTATTTCTGCCTTCATTTCGTTATGTACCCAGTAGTCATTCAGGAGCAGGTTGTTCAGTTTCCATGTAGTTGAGTGGTTTTGAGTGAGTTTCTTAATCCTGAGTTCTAGTTTGATTGCACTGTGGTCTGAGAGACAGTTTGTTATAATTTATGTTCTTTTACATTTGCTGAGGAGAGCTTTACTTCCAACTGTGTGATCAATTTTGGAATAGGTGTGGTGTGGTGCTGAAAAGAATGTAAATTCTGTTGATTTGGGGTGGAGGGTTCTGTAGATGTCTATTAGGTCTGCTTGCTGTAGAGCTGACTTCAATTCCTGGATATCCTTATTAACTTTCTGTCTCACTGATCTATCTAATGTTGACAGTGGGGTGTTAAAGTCTCCCATTATTATTGTGTGGGAGTCTAAGTCTCTTTGTAGGTCACTAAGGACTTGCTTTATGAATATGGGTGCTCCTGTATTGGGTACGTATATATTTAGGATAGTTAGCTCTTCTTGTTGAATCGATCCCTTTACCATTATGTAATGGCCTTCTTTGTTTCTTTTGATCTTTGTTGGTTTAAAGTCTGTTTTATCAGAGAGTTGGATTGCAACCCCTGCCCTTTTTTGTTTTCCATTTGCTTGGTAGATCTTCCTCCATCCCTTTATTTTGAGCCTATGTGTGTCTCTGCATGTGAGATGGGTTTCCTGAATACAGCACACTGATAGGTCTTGACTCTTTATCCAATTTGCCAGTCTGTGTCTTTTTATTGGAGCATTTAGCCCATTTACAGTAAAGTTAATATTGTTATGTGTGAATTTGGTCCTGTCATCATGATGTTAGCTGGTTATTTTGCTCGTTAGTTGATGCAGTTTCTTCCTAGCCTTTATGGTCTTTACATTTTGGCATGTTTTTGCAGTGGCTGGTACCGGTTGTTCCTTTCTATGTTTACTGCTTCCTTCAGGAGCTCTTTTAGGGCAGGCCTGGTGTTGACAAAATCTCTCAGCATTTGCTTGTCTGTAAAGGATTTTATTTCTCCTTCACTTATGAAGCTTAGTTTGGCTGGATATGAAATTCTGGGTTGAAAATTCTTTTCTTTAAGAATGTTGAATATTGGCCCCCACTCTCTTCTGGCTTGTAGAGTTTCTGCTGAGAGATCTGCTGTTAGTCTGATGGGCTTCCCTTTGTGGGTAACCCGACCTTTCTCTCTGGCTGCCCTTAACATTTTTTCCTTCATTTCAACTTTGGTGAATCTGACAATTATGCGTCTTGGAGTTGCTCTTCTCGAGGAGTATCTTTGTGGCATTCTCTGTATTTCCTGAATCTGAATGTTGGCCTGTCTTGCTAGATTGGGGAAGTTCTCCGGGATAATATCCTGCAGGGTGTTTTCCAACTTGGTTCAATTCTCCCCGTCACTTTCAGGTACACCCATCAGATGTAGATTTGGTCTTTTCACATAGTCCCGTATTTTTTGGAGGCTTTGTTCATTTATTTTCTTTCTTTTTTCTCTAAACTTCTCTTCTCACTTCATTTCATTCATTTCGTCTTCCATCACTGATACCCTTTCTTCCAGTTGATTGCATCAGCTCCTGAGGCTTCTGCATTCTTCATGAAGTTCTCAAGCCTTGGCTTTCAGCTCCATCAGCTCCTTTAAGGACTTCTCTGCATTGCTTATTCTAGTTATCCATTCGTCTAATTTTTTTCAAGGTTTCTAACTTCTTTGCCATTGGTTTGAATTTCCTCTTGTAGCTCAGAGTTGTTTGATTGTCTGAAGCCTTCTTCTCTCAACTCGTCAAAGTCATTCTCCATCCAGCTTTGTTCCATTGCTGGTGAGGAGCTGCGTTCCTTTGGAGGAGGAGAGGCACTCTGGTTTTTGGAGTTTCCAGTTTTTCTGCTCTGTTTTTTCCCCATCTTTGTGGTTTTATCTACTTTTGGTCTTTGATGGTGGTGATGTACAGATGGGTTTTTGGTGTGTATGTCCTTTCTGTTTGTTAGTTTTCCTTCTAACAGACAGTACCCTCAGCTGCAGGTCTGTTGGAGTTTGCCAGAGGTCCACTCCAGACCCTTTTTGCCTGGGTGTCAGCAGCGGTGGCTGCAGAACAGTGGTGGCTGTAGAACAGCGGATTTTGATGACCCGCAAATGCTGCTGCCTGATCGTTCCTCTGGAAGTTTTGTCTCAAAGGAGTACCCTGCCGTGTGAGGTGTCAGTCTGCCCCTACTGGGGGATGCCTCCCAGTTAGGCTGCTCGGGGCTCCAGGACCCACTTGAGGAGGCAGTCTGCCGGCTCTCAGATCTCCAGCTGTGTGCTGGGAGAATGACTACTCTCTTCAAAGCTGTCAGACAGGGACATTTAAGTCTGCAGAGGTTACTGCTATCTTTTTGTTTGTCTGTGCCCTGCCCCCAGAGGTGGAGCCTACAGAGGTAGGTAGGCCTCCTTGTGCTGTGGTGGGCTCCACCCAGTTTGAGCTTCCCGGTGGCTTTGTTTTCCTTATCAAGCCTGGGCAATGGCAGGCGCCCCTCCCCCAGCCTCGCTGCCACCTTGCAGTTTGATCTCAGCTGCTGTGCTAGCAATCAGTGAGACTCTGTGGGCGTAGGACCCTCCGAGCCATGTGCGGGATATAATCTCCTGGTGTGCCGTTTTTTAAGCCTTTTGGAAAAGCGCAGTATTAGGGTAGGAGTGACCCGATTTTCCAGGTGCCATCTGTCACTCCTTTCTTTGACTAGGAAAGAGAACTCCCTGACCCCTTGCACTTCCCAAGTGACGCAGTGCCTCGCCCTGCTTTGGCTCATGCACAATGTGCTGTACCCACTGTCCTGCACCCACTGCCTGGCACTCCCTAGTGAGATGAGCCCGGTACCTTAGATGGAAGTGCAGAAATCACCCATCTTCTGCATCGCTCATGCTGGGAGCTGTAGACCAGAGCTGTTCCTATTCAGCCATCTTGGCTCTACCCTTTATTTTTTCTTCTACTAATTTGGGGTTTGGTCTGCTCTTACTTTTCTAGTTTTTTTGGGTTATTTGAAGTTTTTTACTTCTTTGATGTAAGCACTTAGAGATATAGACTTCCCTCTTAGTACTGCATTCACTGTATCTCACAGGTTTTGGAATGTTGTGTTTCTGTTATTCATTTCAAAAAAATTTCATTTTCCTTCTTAATTTTTTCATTTACCCACTGGTCATTCAGTGGCATATTGTTTAATTGCCATGTAGTTGTATAGATTCCCAAACTCATTATTGATTTCTAGCCTTACTCCATTATGGTCAGAGAAGATATTTGATATAATCTCAATTTTTTCAATGTTTTAAGTCTCATTTTGTGTAAAATGTTGTCTATCCTTGAGAATAATTTGTGCGATGAGGAGAATATATTCTGCAGCCATTAGATAAAATATCCTGTAAATATTTTTCAGGTCCATTTGGTCTATAGTACAGATTACGTCCAATGTTTCTATGTTGATTTTTCTGTCTAGGTGATCCCTCTAATACTGAAAGTAGGGTGTTAAAATTTTTAGCTATTACTGTATTAAGGTTCAGCTCTCTCTTTAGTTATAATATTTGCTTTATATATCTGGAATGTTCCAGTGTTGGGGCATATAATATAATGACTTTTGTTTTATATTGTTTTGTCGTGAAACCTCTTTTGTCTGATATAACTAGAGCTACTCCTGCTCTTTTTTGGTTTCCACTTATATGTAATATCTTTTTCCATTCCTTTATTTGGAGGCTATGTATGTCTTTATAGGTAAATTTGTTTCTTATAAGCAATAGATTGTTAGATCTTATGTTTTTTAATACATTAAGCACTTCTGTGCCTTTTGATTGAAGAGTTCCATGTATTCATATTCAAGGTTATTATTGATAAGTAAGAACTTACTCTTGCCATTTTGTTTCATCTTTTCATGTAACAAATACACACACATGTTACAGGTGGTATTGTGGTCTACTCTTTCTTCTTTTCTTCCTTCCTGTCTCCCTTCTAATGAAGGTGATTTTCTCTGGTGCATGTTTTAATTTCTTGCTTTTTATTTTGTGTATCTGTTATATGTTTGTTGTTTTGAGGTTACTGTGAAGCTTGCAAATAATATGTTACAACCCATTATTTTAAACTGATGACAATTTAACACTGATTGCACACACTAGCTAACAAGTAAGCAAAGAGTAAACTAATAAAAATTCTACACTTGAACTTTGTCCCCCCTTTTTATATTTCTGTTCTTTTATATTTATATCTGATTGTACTGTTTTGAAAAGTTGTAGTTATTATTTTGATTGGTTTACCTTTTAATCTTTCTACTTGAGATATTAGTTTATACACCACAATTACAGTGTTATAATGTTCTGTTTTTCAGTGTATTTACTATTACTAGTGAATTCTATGCCTTCAGATTATTTCCTATTGCCCATTAACATCTTTTTGTTTTCAAATTGAAGAACTCCCATTAGCATTTCTTGTATGACAGTTATGATGTTGATGAAATCCCTCCCAGCTTTTGTTTGTCTGGGAAACTGCTTATTTCTTGTTAATTTTTGAGGGATTTTTTTTCTGGATAGACAATTCTAGAATAAATGTTGTTGTTTTTTTTTCTCTCCTTGAGCACTTTAAATATGTCATGCCACTCTCCAGCCTATAAATTTTCCACTGAAAAATCTCCTGCCACACTTAATGGAGCTCCATTATATGTTATTTGTTTCTTTTCTCTTGCTGCTTTCTTTACCCTTGACCTTTGGAAGTTTGATTATTAAATATCTTGATATAGTCTTCTTTGGGTTAAATCTGCTTGGTGTTCTATAATCTTCTTGTACTTGAATATTGATATCTTTCTCTAGGTTTGAAAATTACTCTGTTGTTATGTCTTTGAATAAAATTTTCCTATTTCTTTCTCTATCTCCACTTTAAGGCTAATAACTCTTAGATTTGCCCTTTTTTCTAGCTCTTGTACATGTGCTTTATTCATTTTTATTTTTTTCTTTTGTCTCCTCTGACTATATATTTTCAAATAGGCTTTCTTAAAGTTTACTAATTCTTTCTTCTCCTTTATGAATTTTGCTTTTAAGAGATCTTGATGCTTCTTCAGTATGTCAATTGCATTTTTCAGCACCAGAATTTTGCTTGATTCTTTTTATTTCAATCTCTTTGTTAAATTTATCTAATAGTATTCTGAATTCCATCTCTGTGCCATCTTGCTATCTTGGATTTTGTTGAGTTTCCTCAAAACAGTATTTTGGATTATCTGTATGAAAGGTCACATATCTCTGTCTCTCTGGGATTGGTCCCTGATGCCTTATTTAGTTCATCCTGTGAGGTCATGTTTTCCTGGATGGTCTTGATGCTTGTAGATGTTTATAAATGTCTTCACATTGAAGATTTAGGTATTTATTGTAGTCTTCACAGTCTGCATTTGTTTGTACCAATCCTTCTTGGGAAGGCTCTCCAGGTATTCAAAAGGACTTGGGTTTTGTGATCTAAGTCTTTGGTCACTGCAGCTGTATCTGCATTAAGCCTAGCAATGCTGTGATTCTTGAAGACTCATAGAGGTAGCACCTGTTTGGTCTTGGATAAGATACAGAGGAATTCTGTAGATTCCCAGGCAGACTCTTGTTCTCATCCCTTACTTTCTCCCAAACAAAGCCCCTCTCTCTCTGTACCGAGCTGCCTGGAGCTGGGGAAGCAGTGACACAAGCACCCCTGTGGCTACCCCAACTAGGACTGCACTAGGTCAGACCTGAAGCCAGCATAACACTGGATCTCGTCCATGGCCCATGGTAACTACTGCCTGGCTACTGCTTATGTTAACTTAAGGTGCTAGGGCTCTACAATCAGGAGGTGGCAAAGCTACCAGGCTTATGTCCTTTTCTTCGGGGTAACAAGATCCCCCCCAAGTACTGCATGGGTCTGAAGATGCTGTCTGGTAGCCAGGAGCTAGAATCAGAGATGTTAGGAATCTACACGTTGCTGTATTCTACAGTGGCTGCATTGGCCTCCAAGCCACAAGATAAAGTTCTTTTCCCTCTTCCCTCCCCTTTCCACAAGTAGAGGAGTCTTTCTCTGTGGCCACCACCATCCCAGGGCTGTGACACGTACTACCTAGCTATCACCAATGTTCACTCAAGGCCCAAGGGCTCTTCACTCAGCTTGTAGTGAATGCTTCTAGGCCTGGGACTCTTCCATCAGGGCAGTGGGATCTCCTCTCATGCAGGCAGGTTCAGAAATGCCATCTAAAAGCCAGGGCCTGGAATTGGGACGCCCAAGAGCCCACTTGGTTCTTTACCCCACTGTGGCTGAGCTGGTATCTAAGCTGCAAAACAAAGTCTCCATTAGCCTTCCCTCTCTTTTTCTCATAGCCACCACAGCTGGGAATGTGCTGGGTCACACCAGAAGCCAGCACATCTCTGAATCTCACTCAGAGCCTGCAGTGAGTCCTGCCTGGATACCACTGCTGCTTATTCAGGGCCCAATGTCTCTTTAGTCAGCATGTGATGAATATTGTTAGGACTGGGTCCTTTGCTTCAGTGCAGTGGGTTCCCTTTTGGCCCAGCATGTGTCTGGAAATGTCATCTGGAAGCTACGGCTTGATATGGAAGCCTCAGGACTTTGCTTATTGCCCTTTGCTACTGTGGCTGAGATGGTTTCCAAGTTGCAAGACAAAGTCCTCTTTACTCTTCCCTCTCTCTCCTCAAGCAGAGGGAAGGAGTCTCTTCCAGAGCTGCAAGCTGAGCTTCTCCAGGTTAGGAGAGCAATGGGGCAAGCACTCTTTTGGCTGCCATAGCTGATATCTCACTAGTCGGTGTGCATCCCAAGTTCCCTGGCTCTGAGCCCTGCATAGCACCAGAACTTGCCCAGGAACTGCAGGCCTTGTTGCCCAGACTGTCTTTCAAGTTTATTTAATACCCCAGATCACTTTAGCCTGAGGTGGCAGGGCTTGCCAGAACTCAGATTTCAATCCTTGAAATGGGTGATTCCCTTGTGGCTAGGTCTGGTCTAAATGCTCCCTTCATAGGTGCTGGCTGAGTTGTACCCTGTGTTGCTTTCCACTGTGATAGGGCAGCACTAGGTTCCCATGCAAAGTCCCACAATCGCTGTACTCTTCCTCACCCAAGCACACGGATTCTTTCTCTGTGCCCTGTAGCCACTGCCAGGGGATGGGGGAGGCAATGATATCAGTGATTCAAGACTGTCTTTTCTACCTGCCTCAGTGCCTCTTTCAATGATATGAAGTTACAAGCAGGTACTGTTATCACTCACCTGATTTTGGTTCTTATGTGGAAGCTTCTTTGTGTGGATATAGTTATTCAACTTGGTGTTCCTGTGGGGAGGATGATCTGTGAAGGCTTCTATTCAGCCATCTTGCTCTGCATCATCTTATCTTGGTTAATAATATCTGATTAACATGCAAGCCTGATATATTACCCATCAAAATCTAGAAGCATTTTCATATCCTTTAAAAAAGTATTGTGATGTTACATTTATTAGTATGTTTTGAAGGAATGATCTTCAAAATATATATCAAAGTATATATTTGAAGAAATTATCTTATGGAAAATTGACTAAAAATAAAAGTTTATAAAGTCCTCTGTAATTTTTCACAGTGAGTTCAAAAGATATAAACCTAAGTTACCTTAATAGTACCACAAATTAAATTCCTGTGTAAGAGAGTAGATTTTTTCTTCATACAGGCCCTGTCCTGTATCTGAGATTTAATAGAATTGTTTCACAGCATATGTTTCATACAATAATATAATTGTAAAACCTTAGAGAATGGTGGGTTTGACCTATTGAAAGCTCTAGTAATGATTTGAAGAGTTGTTGGTACTTTGGTGCATAATGTTTATCATGTGATAAATGATAATTTATTTACTAACAGCGTTCTACAGCCCTGAAAGCCCCTCTAAATATTATGTTCAATTTGACAAAAGGTAGAAAAGTCAGATTATAAATCACCTCTAGAAAGATCAGAGACTTAAAAGTTATAAATTTTATTTTTAATTATAGATGTTAACTATTTAGTGCACAGTACTTAATGCTTATATTACTGAACTTTTATGATACTAATAACAGTGAAATGCATCCTGGTTACATAGCTTTTATCACAGATAACACAAAGATATAAAATGGCAAAATTAGCAATAATAAAGCCCAAACCAGGAAAATTATAAAAACAGTTTATTTTTATGACTAAATGTTGGGTTGGGTTGTTAAGACACACACACACACACACACACACACACACACACACACACATACTCACACACACACATACTCACACACACACACACACACTAAAGGGAAAATAAATATTTTAAAGAAAAAAAGTTTTATGACTCAGTGAACAAGAAATAATTTTTATTAATTACATTTTAATTTAATTCTTTTCCATCAGGAATTTAGTTGCAAAATATTAATTTTTATTACTTTTTGAAGGGAATGTTGACTTAAATTATAACAAAACTTTATATTTAATTTATATTCGTTGGATATATTTATGTTTTCAAATCTTTTTTCTTCTCCTGTTTTCATGTAAAAGGTAAAAATTAAAATCCCAACTTGACTCTTATAAGCACAGAGCTTCCATATGCTACTGCTTTAGAGATATTCACTTACTTAAAATGTGTAACAAGTCCTTGTTACTCTTTTCATTTCCAATTAATAGGTGAGAAAACTGAAGCACAGAGAGTAACATGTCCAAGATCATATGATTTGAAAGTAGAGAATTCATATAGAGTAATCTGACTCCATAGTTCATGCAATTCACTGTTTCACTGAGTTCTGAGTTCTAATTAAAACAATTAAATAAAATGATGTAAGACAATAACTCTTAAATGGAGGAGGAAACCTTGTCTGTTTTCTAAATCTCAGAGTCATGTCTCAACATTATTCTACTTTAAAAGGTGCCACACGTTAAATTAGAATCCTAATATTCTCAGTGAGGGAAATAGAGATGAGAATTAGATTATTTTTAAAATTTTAAATATCTGTTTAGTTTACTGCATAGCTACTGATAACTACATTTTGCTAATCTTGAAGAGTAAAAATAACCTCTTTTTTTCCAAAAAGATAAACACCGAACATGCTTAAAATAATAGAAATTTCTGAAAATACAATCATCATCAGAATTTATCTTGACAAATTCTGCTGTATATAGCATGGGGACTATAATTAATGACAATATGTTATATTCTTGAAAATGTAAAGAGAGTAGATAGTAAGTACTCTCACCACAAAAATGATAACTATGTTAGGTAATACATTTGTTAATTAGGTAGATTGAATCATTTCACAATGTATATATACTTCAAACCATATGTTGTACATGATAAATATATTCAATTTTATTTGTCAATTTTAAAATATTAAAAGTTATGAATAAATAAATGTGGGCAATTTGTGTCTGTACATGCATATGTCTTGATTATTGAAATAATCAGGTCTATTATTTCTTGCTTATTTTGATAAGTTTTCATTGTTTGACTTCCACATTTTAAAAAAAATCTGTGGATAATTTTGAAATAACTTTTGTGTGACCAATGTGTGCTTTAATAAATAGTACCATTTTAAAACTCTCAACCAAATAAAAGTATTTATTTTATTTATAATCAATTTTCTGACTAAGTTTATTTAAGGCCATTTGCAAGAAAAGGCAAAATAAAATCATTTTTACGTGATTTAAAAAGTAGAAGCACAGGAAAATATGGGTTATTCTAAATAATAATGTATTGTATATTTTAAGATAGTGAGAAGAGATTTTTGCATGTTGATACCACAATAAAGGATAAATGTTTAAAATGATGAATATGATAATTATCCTGATTTGATTTTTATACTATGTGTACATGCATCAATATATCACACTATAGCACATAAATATGTATAATTACTAGGTACCAAATATAAACTTAAAAATAAATAAGTAAATATGATAAAACTTGTAGTGATATTAGTAGACAAGATTATGGCAACTAAAGCATTTGCTAGTGTAAACTGAAATACAAGGAGGTACCACGAGTAATATGATTCACAGTGTTCTTTGAAAACACAGCTATGAAAAGTATTGAAGCTTAAAAGAAAATTCTCCTGTGGGTCCACAATACGGTGATGAATTATTGTCCTCAACAATTTTACAGAAATTCCAACATATATATTACATTTTTTAATTTTAAAAAATCAATGTTACTTGTATAAGAAAAAATGAATTAAATCCAAAATACAAATTACACTATTATAAACAATCACTTTAAAATTAAATGTTAATATATAATGTTATATAATGTAATATTATATAATATACATATAATATAATATATAAATTTTCAATGTTCTCCAGCAAAGACCACCAGGAACATACCTGTATCTTTACAAAGTTGAGTTTATTACTCATTGCAACATGGGAGAACACACACCATGGGGAACCAGAGGGTGTCTCAATTAAAGTGTATTAAAAAGGATTTATTTTAGGATTTGGGCGAAGTGATTTTGAAGGGGTTCAAGGAAACTGGGATTTGCTCTGCATTGTATGCTGTGAAGAAGCAGTTTAATTCTATAATCAGGTATCTTTACTAATCTTATCTAGAATGATGAAAAAACCTGGAGTGTTTAAAGCTATAAGGAAGCCACAGTCACTCCTATCAGCTAGAAGAGAAGGATATTTAGTAATGCAGTACTCACAGTGACCTTGTTTTCATTGGTGCTTAGACAACATTATGAAGTGGTTTTGTTTCATTGTCTGTTATATACACTGTAGTAATGCAAATGGAAATTTAACTGGCTTTCCACTTAACAATATATTACTGCAACATTTTCATATCAAGAAATATACTTTCCAAATTCTCATTTTAAACAGAAACTCAGTACATGATTATATGGATACCTTGATTTATTTAATCTATATTTTGATATCTACTTTATATTCAATTTTTCCTATTAAAAGCCACGTTAAGATCAACTTTCATGTACATTTATTTTTGCGAACTTATCTGGCTTTTTCCCTTGATGATAAATTTCTAGAAGTAGAAACATCTGGACCAATAAGTAGTGACAGTTTAAAGACCTCTAATTCATATTTACAAATTATCCAAAGTAGGTCAATTTGTACTTACATCATCAATGTATAAGATGGACCTTTGTTCCAATTACCTCCTCAACACTATTGTTGTAACATTAAAAAATATCTAATTAGATTGCTTCAATTTGCTCTAATAATAGTAACACTAAGTAGATAGCCTTTATTGACTATGTGCTAGAACTATGCTAACTACTTTACAAATGTTAAAAAAGAGGTGCATAAAATATGTATTTTAGATGAATAGCAAATGGCTAGGTGCTAAAATCAACCGTCAATCTCACGTGAAGCCAAAGTTGAACATTATCAATGCAGAATAATCGTGACATTTTATTCAAATAAACATTGCTAATTTCAAATTTTTACTTTATTATTTTATTTATAAGTATTTTATATTATTTGTATAATAATATTATTTTATTATTTTATTATTATTTATAAGGAATGATGTTCAATTAGTTGAAGAATTATTTCGCTTTTTAAAGGCTAAAAAAGAAGCTGTAGTCAAGTGAAACTTTAATGCATTCCTTCTTTTAATATTTGATCTCAAACTAACAACACTGTGAGCTTGCACTCTGTGTCTAGCTAATTGGGTGGGGACTTGGAGAACTTTTGCGTCTAGCTAAAGGATTGTAAATGCACCAATCAGCACTCCGTGTCTAGCTAAAGGATTGTAAACACACCAATCAGCACTCTGTAAAATGGACCAATCAGCACTCCGTAAAATGGACCAATCAGCACTCCGTAAAATGGACCAATCAGAGCTCTGTAAAATGGACCAATCAGCAGGATGTAGGTGGGGCCAAATAACGGGATAAAAGCAGGACACCTGAGCCAGCAGCGGCAACTCGCTCAGGTCCCCTTCCACGCTGTGGAAGCTTTGTTCTTTCGCTCTTCACAATAAATCTTGCCACTGCTCACTCTTTGGGTCCGCACTACCTTTATGAGCTGTAACACTCACTGCAAAGGTTTGCAGCTTCATTCCTGAAGTCAGTGAGACAACGAACCCACCGGGAGGAACGAACAACTCCAGACGCGCTGACTTTAAGAGCTGTAACACTCACCACAAAGCTTCACTCCTGAAGTCAGCGAGACCACAAACCCACCAGAAGGAAGAAATTCCAGACACATCTGAACATCAGAAGGAATAAACTCTGGACACACCATCTTTAAGAACTGTAACACTCACCACGAGGTTCCACAGCTTCATTCTTGAAGTCACTGAAACCAAGAACCCACCAATTCTGGACACATTTTGGCAACCACGAAGGGACTATCACCTATCGCCAAGCGGTGAGACTATTGCATAGCGCCAAGCAGTGAGTACCATCAGACCCCTTTCACTTGGTATTCTGTCCTATTTTTCCTTAGAATTCAGGGGCTAAATACTGGGCACCTGTCAGCCAGTTAATAGTGACTAGCACGGCCACTGGACTAAAAACACGGGTGTCAGGCTTTCTGGGAAAGGGCTCTCTAACAACCCTTGACTCTTTGGAGTTGGGAGCGTTGGTTTGCCTGGAACCAGCTTCCACTTTTCCTATACTTCTAGGCTGAGCCAAGGGTCAACAGAGAGGAAAGCCATTTAGCTCTGGGGGTCCCGAAAACAAGTTGGTTGACCCTGCAGTCATGAGCGGAACTCTCAAAGTCATGTCACCCAAGCGAGACTTGCCCATCTATTCTATCTACCCTGACCCTTGCCTCCTGGGTCCTAATGCCTGCCAGACAAACTTCCTCTCACCTCTCTTCTCCAAGGCTAGTCCTGCTTCTAAAAACCACTCCCTGTCTCTGGTGCTTTTCTAGTTTCTCCTATAAGAATGATTTCTAGTATAAACTCCAGGAATCTATTCCCTTCTTTAGGCAACTGGGCTCACCAATCAGAAAGACATAATTTTTTCCCAAAGCCCTGTCGCAGTGGGGACTATCTGGAATTTTAGGATCCTTCCTTAGAATAGCAGGCCTAACGAAAGCTATTCCTGAAGCTAGGATATGGGGAGCCTCATAAATTGTATCCTTCCTATTCATATAAATGAGGACAAAAGGCATCACTCTTCCAACTCTGGAGATCCCTTCCCTCCCTCAGGTTATGGCCCTCAACTTCATTTTTGGGGCATAACATCTTTATAGGACACGGGTAAGGTCCCAATACTAACAGGAGAATGCTTAGGACTCTACCAGGTTTTCAAGAATATGTCATAAGGGTCACCAAATCCTATTTTTCTCGGTCCTTTTTGTGGTCTAGGATGACAGGCAAGGGTACAGGTTTTTGAGAATGCATCGGTAATGGCCACTAAATCCTACCTTCCTCGGTCCTCCTTGTGGTCTAGGAGGAAATCTAGTGTTTCTGATGCTGTGTCGGTGAGCACAACTATTCCAATCAGCAGGGTCCAGAGACTGTTGCCAGTTCTTGGGCAGGGGTTGTTTCTGCTGCTGCATCGGTGATTGCAACTATTCTGATCAGCAGTGTCCAGGGACCATTGTGGGTTCTTGGGCAGGGGGAGAAACAAAACAAACCAAAACTATGGGCGGTTTGATAGGAAACACTCAGGCATCAACACGCTCACCCTTGAAATGTATCCTAAGCCATTGGGACCAATTTGACCCACAAACCCTGAAAAAGAGGCAGCTCATTTTTTTCTGCACTACAGCCTGACCCTAATATTCTCTCTCTGATGGGGAAAAATGGCCACCTGAGGGAAGTATAAATTACAATACTATCCTGCAGGTTGACCTTTTCTGTAAGAGGGAAGGTAAATGGAGTGAAATACCATAAGGTATTACAAGCTTTCTTTTCACTGAAGGAGAATACACAACTATGCAAAGCTTGCAATTTACATCCCACAGGAGGACCTTTCAGCTTACCCCCATATCCTAGCCTCCCTAGAGCTCTCCTTCCTATTAATGGCAAGCCTCCTCCAATCTCCCCTGCCCAGAAGGAAATAAGCAAAGAAATCTCCAAAGGACCACAAAAACCCCTGGGCTATCGGTTATGTCCCCTTCAAGCTGTAGGGGGTGGAGAATTTGGCCCAACCCAGGTACATGTCCCCTTCTCCCTCTGTGATTTAAAGCAGATCAAGGCAGACTGGGGGAAGTTTTCAGATGATCCTGATAGGCACATAGATGTCCTCCAGGGTCTAGGGCAAACCTTCGATCTCACTTGGAGAGATGTCATGCTATTGTTAGATCAAACCCTGGCCTTTAATGAAAAGAATGTGGCTGTAGCTGCAGCCTGAGAGTTTGGAGATACCTGGTATCTTAGTCAAGTAAATGATAGAATGACAGCCGAAGAAAGAGATAAATTCCCTACTGGCCAGCAAGCCATCCCCAGTATGGATCCCCACTGGGACCTCAACTCAGATCATGGGGACTGGAGTCGTAAACATCTGTTGACCTGTGTTCTGGAAGGACTAAGGAGAATTAGGAAAAAGCCCATGATTTATTCAATGATGTCCACCATAAATCAGGGAAAGGAAGAAAATCCTTCTGCCTTCTTCAGGTGGCTTCAGGAGACCTTAAGAAAATATACTCCACTGTCACCTGAATCACTCGAGGGTCAATTGATTCTAAAAGATAAGTTTATTACCCAATCAGCAGCAGATATCAGTAGAAAGCTCCAAAAGCAAGCCCTGGGCCCTGAACAAAATATTGAGGCATTATTAAACCTGGCAACCGTGGTGTTCTATAATAGGGACCAAGAGGAACAGGCCCAAAGGAAAAGAGATCAGAAAAAGGCCGCAGCCTTAGTCATGGCCCTCAGACCAACAAACTTTGGTGGTTCAGAGAGGACAGAAAATGGAGCAGGCCAATCAGCTGGTAGGGCTTGTTATCAGTGTGGTTTACAAGGACACTTTAAAAAAGATTGTCCAGTGAGAAACAAGCTGCCCCCTTATCTGTGTCTACTATGCCGAGGCAATCACTGGAAGGTGCACTGCCCCAGAGGACAAAGTTTCTCTAGGTTGGAAGCCCCCAACCTGATGATCCAACAACAGGACTGAGGGTGCCCAGGGCAAACGCCAGCTCATGTCATCACCCTCACTGAGCCCCAGGTATGTTTAACCATTGAGGGCCAGGAAAATGACTTCCTCCTGGACACTGGCACGTCCTTCTCAGTGCTAATCTCCTTTCCTGGATGACTGTCCTCAAGGTCTGTTACCATCCGAGGAATCCTGGGGCAGCCTGTAACCAGGTGTTTCTCCCACCTCCTCAGTTGTAATTGGGAGACTTTGCTCTTTCTGTATGCCTTTCTTGTTATGCCTGAAAGTCCCACACCTTTATTAGGGAGATATATTAGCCAAAGCTGGAGCTATTATCTACATGAATATGGGGAACAAGTTACCCATTTGTTGTCCCTTACTTGAGGAGGGAATTAACCCTGAAGTCTGGGCATTGGAAGGACAATTTGGAAGGGCAAAAAATGCCCACCCAGTCCAAATCAGGCTAAAAGACTCCACCACTTTTCCTTATCAAAGGCAATATCCCTTAAGGCCTGAAGCTCTTAAAGGATTACAGGATATTGTTAAACATTTAAAAGCTCAAGGCTTAGTAAGGAAATGCAGCAGTCCCTGCAACACCCCAATTCTAGGAGTACAAAAACCAAATGGTCACTGGAGACTAGTGCAAGATCTTAGACTCATCAATGAGGCAGTAATTCCTCTATATCCAGTTGTACCCAACCCCTATACCCTGCTTTCTCAAATACCAGAGGAAGCAGAATGGTTCATGGTTCTGGACCTCAAGGATGCCTTCTTCTGTTTCCCCTGCACTCTGACTCCCAGTTTCTGTTTGCCTTTGAGGATCCCACAGACCACACGTCCCAACTTACATGGATGGTCTTGCCACAAGGGTTTAGGGATAGCCCTCACCTGTTTGGTCAGGCACTGGCCCAAGATCTAGGCCACTTCTCAAGTCCAGGCACTTTGGTCCTTCAGTATGTGGATGATTTACTTTTGGCTACCAGTTCAGAAGCCTCATGCCAGCAGGCTACTCTAGATCTCTTGAACTTTCTACCTAATCAAGGGTACAAGGCATCTAGGTCAAAGGTGCAGCTTTGCTTACAGCAGGCTAAATATCTAGGCCTAATCTTAGCCAGAGGGACCAGGGCCCTCAGCAAGGAATGAATACAGCCTATACTGGCTTATCCTTGCCCTAAGACATTAAAACAGTTGCAGGGGTTCCTTGGAATCACCGGCTTTTGCCGACTATGGATCCCTGGATACAGTGAGATAGTCAGGCCCCTCCATACTCTAATCAAGGAGACCCAGAGGGCAAATACTTATCTAGTAGAATGGTAACCAGGGGCAGAAACAGCCTTCAAAACCTTAAAGCAGGCCCTGTACAAGTTCCAGCTTTAAGCCTTCCCACAAACTTCTCTTTATATGTCACAGAGAGAGCAGGGATAGCTCTTGGAGTCCTTACTCAGACTCTTGGGACAACCCCACAACCAGTGGCATACCTAAGTAAGGAAATTGATGTAGTAGCAAAAGGCTGGCCTCACTGTTTAAGGGTAGTTGCAGCACTGGCCATCTTCATGTCAGAGGCTATCAAAATAATACAAGGAAAGATCTCACTGTCTGGACTACTCATGTTGTAAATGGCATACTAGGTGCCAAAGGAATTTTATGGCTATCAGACTACCACCTACTTAGATACCAGGCACTACTCCTTGAGGGACCAGTGCTTCAAATATCTACATGTGTGGCCCTCAACCCTGCCACTTTTCTCCCAGAGAATGGGGAACCAATTGAGCATGACTGCCAACAAATTACAGTCCAGACTTATGCCACCCAAGATGATCTCTTAGAAGTCCCCTTAGCTAATCCTGACCTTAACCTATATACCGATGGAAGTTCATTTGCAGAAAATGGGATATGAAGGGCAGGTTGTGACATAGTTAGTGATGTAACTGTACCTGAAAGTAAGCCTCTTCCCCCAGGGACCAGCACCCAGTTAACAGAACTAGTGGCACTTACCTGAGCCTTAGAACTGGGAAAGGGAAAAAGAATAAATGTGTATACAGATAGCAAGTATGCTTATCTAATCCCTCATGCCCATGCTGCAATATGGAAAGAAAGGGAGTTCCTAACCTCCGGGGGTACCCCCATTAAATGCCACAAGGAGATTATGGAGTTATTGCATGCACTGCAAAAGCCCAAGGAGGTGGCAGTCTTACACTGCCAAAGCCATCAGAAAGGTGAAGGAGAAAAGGCAGAAGGAAACCGTCAGGCAGATGCTGAGGCCAAAATTGCTGCCAGGTGGATACTCCCATTAGAAATACCTATGGAAGGACCCTTGGAATGGAACAAACCCCTCCAAGAGATTAAGCCCCAGTATTCCCCAAATGAAACAGAATGGGGACTCTCATGGGGGCATAGTTTTCTCCCCTCAGGGTGGTTAACGACAAAAGAAGGAAAGGTACTTATACCCGAAGCCAGCCAGTGGAAAATACTTAAAACCCTCCACCAAACTTTTCATATGGGTATTGAAAACACTCATCAAATGGCCACATCTCTATTCACAGGGCCAAATCTACTCTGGGCCTTCCAACAGGTAGTCAAAACCTGTGAGGTGTGCCAAAGGAATAATCCCTTGGTCCATTGTAAGGCCCATTTGGGGGAACAAAGAATAGGTCACTATCCTGGAGAGGACTGGCAGTTAGACTTCACCCATATGGCCTAAATCAAAGGGATTTCAATACTTGTTGGTCTGTGTTGATACCTTTACAAATTGGATAGAAGCTTTCCCCTGCAAGACAGAGAAGACTCAGGAAGTGATTGAAGTCCTAATTGATGAAATAATTCCTAGATTTGGGCTTCCCTAAGGCTTACAGAGTGACAATGGTCCAGTTTTAAAGCCACAATAACTCAGGGAATGTCCAGGCTGCTAGGGATACAGTATCACCTTCACTGCGCCCGGAGGCCACAATCCTCAGGGAAGGTCAAGAAGGCAAATGAAACACTCGAGGCACTTAAGGAAACTAACACAAGGAACATCTCCCATGGCCTACTCTTTTGCCCATGGCCTTGTTGAGAATCCGAAATTCTCCTCACAAAATGGGGCTCAGTCCATATGAAATGCTGTATGGACAACATTTTCTCACAAATGACCTCCTACTTGATGAGGAAAAGACAAACTTGTTCAAAGATATAACTTCTTCGGCAAAATATCAACAAAACCCTAAAAACCTACCTGAAGGATGTCACAGAGAAAAGGGAACAGAGTTGTTTCAACCAGGAGATCTAGTGTTGGTCAAATCTCTCCCCTCTACCTCCCCATCTATGGACTCTCTGTGGGAAGGGTCATACTCAATAATCCTCTCTACCCACACTGCAGTTAAGGTGGTAGGAGTGAAATCTTGGATTCACCACACCCGAGTTAAATTTTGGACATCCCCTGAGGAACCTGTGAGACCATCAGCTCAGGAGTCCCAAGATCAGCCAGACCAGCCTCAATACACCTGTGAACCATTGGAGGACTTGCATCTCCTATTTCGGAAGGAAACATCCCAGAATAAAATGGCTCCTACCACTAATCCTGAGGAAAAACCCCTTCCTCCTTAAAAAAGATAAGTGAAAACCTACATAATCTTTATCTTTAATACCTCTCCTTGCCCCTTTAATGGAATCCTTTTACTATTTCATCATATTATTAAGCAGCATACTAACCATACTCTTTGTGATAGGACTATATACTGTAGCTCCTGCCAGGATGAAAATCCTAATCACATCAACCTTCTTTCTATCATCCTTCCTTGTGACAGCAATTTACTCCTACCTTTAACTCAGCCTGGAAAAAATGATGTCATCTTCCAGAGCACCCTCTTTACCTTTCTATTTACTCTTTGCCTATCTATCCCTCCTGCTTCCTTGGATACCTCATACAATCACTGCTCCCCTTCCACTAGCTCCTAATTACCTCTACAAGACTCTCAACTTAACCCACTGTCTGTTAAACCAGTCCAATCCTTCCCTGGCAAATGACTGTTGGCTTTGTATCTCTCTATCAACCTCTGCTTATGATGCCACTCCCAGTCCCATAAAAAACTTGGTCTTTACCAACTTAATCTACCACCCTCATTATGAAGGAAAAGACCTTTTCTGACTTCTAAATATGCAATCATTAGCTGACTTACCCATCTCTGATAGGACCAAGAATACCCTAACAGGAGGCGCAATCCAACTTTTACGTTCTTACATTTCCAACCTCAACTATTACACAAGCAATGAAAAGCCCATACACAGCCCTGTAACTATGAATACCATCTTAACTTTCCAAGCCCCTTTATGCATCCAATGCAACCTGTTATCAGGCCTGCCCCTGGGGCACTTACTACCCCATCAGTGTAATTAAACCCTACAACTTCAAGCCCCAACTGATCATAGTAACTTCTGAGTCACCCAAACAGCTCCATTCAAATGGTTTGTCTGCTCAGGGCCCCCAAAAATCATCACCTCCTCCCTGCTTAACAAACAGTCCAGGTTTTGTAATGGCAAACATATTCCCTGCATGACCATTCACCCCTGGACACCCTGCAGCAGCACCCCCACTACTAGTGAATGCCTTCTCATCCCCTCTTTCAGTCACTCTCTCAAATGGTTCCTAGTAGATACAAAATGGTTTTTTTCTCCAATGGGAAAATAGAACACAGGGAGCTCCCAATACCCCTTTCCAGCCACTTACTGGAGCTACCTTGGCAAGTACTCTAGGAGTATGGATAAATGAAAACAACAAATTCACACACCTTTTTAATATACACAACCAATTCTGTCTACCCAGCCAAGGTATATTCTTCTAATGTGGAACATCGACCTATATTTACCTCCCCACTAACTGGACAGGCAACTGCACCTTAGTCTTTCTAAGTCCCAACATTAACATTGCCCTAGGAAATCAGACCCTATCAGTACCCCTCAAAGCTCAAGTCTGTCAGCACAGAGCCATACAACTAATACCCCTACTTATAGGGTTAGGAATGGCTACTGCTACAGGGAGCAGAAGAGCCAGTTTATCTACTTCATTATCTTACTACCACACACTCTCAAAGGATTTCTCAGACAGTTTGCAAGAAATAATGAAATCTATCCTTACTCTACAATCCCAAATAGACTCTTTGGCAGCAGTGACCTTCCAAAACTGCAGAGGCCTAGACCTCCTCACTGCTGAGAAAGGAGGTCTCTGCACCTTCTTAGGGGAAGTGTATTGTTTTTACACTAACCAGTCAGGGATAGTAAGAGATGCTTCCTGGCGTTTACAGGAAAAGGCTTCCGAAATCAGACAATGCCTTTCAAACTCTTATACCAACCTCTGGAGTTGGGCAACATTGCCTCTCCCTTTTCTAGGTCCTGTGGCAGCCATCTTGCTGTTACTCGCCTTTGGGCCCTGTATTTTTAACCTTCTTGTCAAATTTGTTTCCTCTAGAATCAAGGCCATCAAGCTACAGATGGTCTTACAAATGGAACCCCAAATGAGTTCAACTAACAACTTCTACCAAGGACCCGTGGACCAACCTGCTGGCCCTTCCACTGGCCTAAAGAGTTCCCCTCTTTAGGACACTACAACTGCAGGGCCCCTTCTTTGCCCCTATCCAGCAGGAAGTAGCTAGAGCAGTCATTGGCCAAATTCCCAACAGCAGTTGTGGTGTCCTGTTTAGGAGGGAGATTGAGAAGTGAAGCCAGCTGGGCTTCTGGGTCAGGTGGGGACTTGGAGAAATTTTGTGTCTAGCTAAAGGATTGCAAATGCACCAATCAGCACTCTGTGTCTAGCTAAAAGTTTGTAAATGTACCAATCAGTGCTCTGTGTCTAGCTAATTGGGTAAGGACTTGGAGAACTTTTGTGTCTAGCTAAAGGATTGTAAATGCATCATTTAGTACTCTGTGTCTAGCTAAAGGATTATAAAAGCACCAATCAGCACTCTGTAAAACAGAACAATCAGCACTGCATAAAATGGACCAGTCAATGCTCTGTAAAATGGACCAATCAGCAGGATGTGGGTGGGGCCAAATAAAGGAATAAAAGCAGGCCACCAGAGCCAGCAGCGGCAACCTGCTCGGGTCCCCTTCCATGCTGTGGAAGCTTTGTTCTTTTGCTCTTCACAGTAAATCTTGCTGCTGCTCACTCTTTGGGTCTGCACTACCTTTATAGCTGTAACACTCACCACGAAGGTCTGCAGCTTCACTCCTGAAGTCAGCGAGACCACGAACCCACCAGAAGGAAGAAACTCCAGACACGTCTGAATATCAGAAGAAACAAACTCCAGACACGCCATCTTTAAGAACTGTAACACACAGCGAGGGTCTGCGGCTTCATTCTTAAAGTCAGCAAGACCAAGAACCCACCAATTCTGTACACAATATTTGACTACATGGCTTTAAAAATAAATGCTCTATGATACTGGAAAAGACAATGTATTAGTTGTTTCAGGATATATTTTTAATGTTTGGTATTTTGAATCAGCAAGGATGACATCTGTTTTATTTACAGTTGTAGCTCCAGTGCCAGTATAGTTGGTACATCAGATATATTTAATGACTGTAATTGAAGAACTTCCTTTATATCCTATTTGTATTTTTCCTGTTTGATATATCAGAGAGTGAGAAAGATATTTATAGCAGTGTTTTCCAGTAGAAACTTCTGCAATGATGGACACAGTTTTTGGCACTATCCAAAACTGCATTCACTAGTCATATGTAGCTACTTAATGCTTGAAATGTATCTAGGACATAAGAGTAAATGAATTTAATTGCATTTAATACTACCTAATTTCAGTTAGAAATTAAATAGTCACACAAAAGTAGTGGCTATTGTATTGGACTGTGCAGGTCTATAGCACCTCATTATTTTTTGGACAATTTTCCCTTGTATTTCTACCATTCTTGTTTCATATGTTAGCATAAAAGTGATCATATTTATTGTATATCCATTGTGGAATAAAACTGCATTTAAAAAACTGGCTTTATCTCATGTAATGCATTTTTCTGCTTATATTTATCTTTATATTAAATATGGACCAATTTTCCTCCATTTCTGTTTGCCTAAAACACCTGCCTAATTTTGTGCTTCCTTGATATTGTTAACCTTTCTGAGTTTTCTGGGGGTTGTATATTTTGGACTTTTAAAAAATCTATATTTTCAAAAGACAAAATAACCAATTTAGTTTAAAAATATTAATTGGTTTTATTGTGATTTTAGAATCAGGCAACATTTTGTTCCATAAAATATGTGTTCCAATTAGTTGAGCAAAGGAGGATGGTTTTATAGATAGAAAATGGGTTGAAGAAAGAAGAAACAAAGAACAAAAAGCAGACTGGGCATTTCAAATTAACTCTCTTTGAAAGGCAGAGGGAGAGATACAGAAAAATAGCTAAATTATTGGTTAACTTCAGGTTACTTAGGGTTACATATTAAAACAGAGGTGCTTTTCTAAAGTCAGCGTTCATTGCTATAAACTTCCCTCTTAGTACTGTTTTTGCTTTTTCACATGAATTTTGGTTTGTTGATTTTTCATTTTCATTTGTTTTAAGAATTTTAAAAATATGTATTCCCTTCTTAATTTCTTCATTGATCCAATGCTCATTCAGGAGCATGTTGCTTAATTTCCATGTATTTGTACAGTTTCCAAAGTTACTCTTGGTTTTGATTTCTAGTTTTATTCCATTGTGGTCTGAGAAAGCACTTGATATGACTTTGATTTTTAAAAATTTGTTGAAACTTGTTTTGTGACCCAACATATGATCTATCTTGCAGAGTGTTCCATGTGCTGGTGAGAAGAATGTATATTCTGCAGCTGTTGAATAACATGCTCTATAAATATCTGTTAGGACCACTTGGTCTAAAATGTAGTTTAAATCCAATGATTCTTTGATGAATTTTTTTTGTCTAGATAATCTGTTGGAGGTGAAATGTTCAAATTTCCAACTATTATTTTATCTATGATCCAGTAATCTCACTATTGGTCATGTATCCAAAGGAAAGTAAATCAGTATATCAAAAAATACATGCACCCCCATGTTTATTGCAGCACTGTTCCCAATAGCAAAGATATGGAATCAACTTCTATCAATGGATGCATGGATAAAGAAAATATGAGATATAGTTAAGCTTTCTGAGTTTTTTGGGGTTGTATATTTTGGACTTTAAAAAATCTATCTTTTCAACAGACAAAATAACCAATTTAATTTAAATATATTGGTTTTATTGTGATTTTAGAATCAGGCGACATTTTGTTCCATAAAATATGTGTTCCAATTAGTTGAGCAAAGGAGGATATATCATACACATGTGAGATATACCTAGATATATATCTCATAGATATATTGACAAATCTCTATATATCTCTCTCTATAGAAATATATCTCTATTTATCTATATGTCTATATAGCTACCTATATATATAGCTCTATATAGATCTATATAGCTCACAGATATATATATCTATAGAGAGCTATATATATAGAGAGAGACAAAGATAGAGCTATAGAGATACATATAGCTCACATATATATCTACATAGAGAGCTATATAGATAGATATCTCACCTATCTATGTATGTGTGTGTATATACAATAATAGAATATTATTCAACCATCAAAAATTAATAAAATCCTGTCATTTGCAGCAACGGGAATGGAGCTGGAGGTCACTATGTTAAGTGAAATAACATAATGGCACAGAAAGACAAATATTGCATGTTCTCACTCGTGTGGGAACTACAAAGATTTATATTATTGAAGTAGAGAGTAAATTGATGGTTGCCAGAGATCGGGACAGGTAAAAGAGGGATAAAGAGAAGTTAATGGGTACAAATATGCAATTAGATAGAAGGAATAAGTTCTAACATTCGATAGCAAAGTAAGTTAAGTATAGTAAACAACAATGTATTATATATGGTTATGTATTATATACTTAAAAATAGCTAGAAGAGAGAACTTGAAATGTTCCCAACACAGAAATAAATAATCAAGGTGATGGATATCCTAAATACACTCACTTGATCATTACACATTCTATGAGTGTAACAAAATATCATACCTGCCTCATAAACATGTACAAATATTTTGTATCAAAAATTTTTTAAATTAGTTCATTAATTGTGGCAAATATAAAATGTTGTTAATAGGGGAAACTGGATGTGGGGTATATGGAAACTGTACAGTCTTCATAATTTTTCTATAAATATAAAACTATTTTGAAATTTTAAAAATCTTTTTAAAAGGACACTTTATTATCATGCTAATTGAAGATGGAAACTTCCCTGTTCAGAAATTAGACTGTTATCTCTCTCTCTTCTAATTCCTTGGAAGGACAGATGAAAATTCAATTTCACTTTGGTGAGCATAGGTAACTCCATTTTGAGTCCGGTCCGTTGGGAACTAGTGTAGGAGTTTTGCCCAATAAAACCAGCCTCCTATAATTTAACAGTCTCATGTCTTTGCCTTTACAAAGGAGATTCAAAACAGTAACATATGCATATAATTTAAAATTCTATAGTCTTTCTATCCTTTCCTAGATGGTTTATATGGTGTCTCAATTTTAGTGATTTGTTAGTTCCATATCTTCTTTTAAGTTTTGCTTTAAAGGATCTTTTAGTTTTTCAATAATGTAAAAATTGCAATTCTCTAAAAATTTGCTGTAATAATAACACTAATTGTGCTTACTACATCTTTGGCACGTTATATTTTCTTTCTGCTATTTCTTTTCTTTCTGCTTAGTTTTGTTAGGAAAATCTGGAAATTTAGATCTACTTTACTCTCTTCAAGTCACTTTTTTTTTAAATTATACTTTAAGTTCTAGGGTACATGTGCACAACATGTAGGTTTGTTACATATGTATACATGTGCCATGTTGGTGTGCTGCACCCATTAATTCATCATTTACATTAGGTATATCTCCTAATGCTATCCCTCCCCGCTCCCCCCACCCAACAACAGTCCCTGTGTGTGATGTTCCCTTTCCTGTGTCCAGGTGTTCTCGTTGTTCAATTCCCACCTGTGAGTGAGAACATGCGTATTTGGTTTTTTGTCCTTGTGATAGTTTGCTAAGAATGATGGCTTCCAGCTTCATCCATGTCCCTACAAAGGTCATGAACTCATCCTTTTATATGGTTGCATAGTATTCCATGGTGTATATGTGCCACATTTTCTTAATCCAGTCTATCATTGATGGACACTTGGGTTGGTTCCAAGTCTTTGCTATTGTGAATAGTGCCGCAATAAACATACATGTGCATGTGTCTTTATAGCAGCATGATTTATGATCCTTTGGGTATATACCCAGTAATAGGATGGCTGGGTCTAATGGTATTTCTAGTTCTAGATCCTTGAGGAATTGCCACACTGTCTTTCACAATGGATGAACTAGCTTACAGTCCCACCAACAGTGTAAAAGTGTTCCAATTTTTCACATCCTCTCCAGCACCTGTTGTTTCCTGACTTTTTAATGATCGCCATTCTAACTGGTGTGTGATGGTATCTCATTGTGGTTTTGATTTGCATTTCTCTGATGGCCAGTGATGATGAACATTTTTTCATGTGTCTGTTGGCTGCATACATTTCTTCTTTTGAGAAATATCTGTTCATATCCTTCACCCACTTTTTGATGGGGTTGTTTTTTTCTTGTAAATTTGTTTGAGTTTTTGTAGATTCTGGATAATAGCCTTTTGTCAGATGACTAGATTGCAAAATTTTTTTCTCATTCTGTAGGTTGCCTATTCACTCTGATGTTAGTTTCTTTTGCTGTGCAGAAGCTCTTTAGTTTAATTAGATCCCATTTGTCAATTTTGGCTTTTGTTGCCATTGCTTTTGGTGTTTTAGACATGAAGTCCTTGCCCATGCCTATGAACTGAATGGTATTGCCTAGGTTTTCTTCTAGGGTTTTTATGGTTTTAGATCTAACATTTAAGTCTTTAATCCATGTTGAATTAATTTTTGTATAAGATGTAAGGAAGGGATCCAGTTTCAGCTTTATATGTATGGTTAGCCAGTTTTCCAGGCACCATTTATTAAACAGGGAATCCTTTCCCCATTTCATGTTTTTGTCAGGTTTGTCAAAGATCAGATGTTGTAAAGGTGTGGTATTACTTCTGAGAGCTCTGTTCTGTTCCATTGGTCTGTATCCCTGTTTTAGTACCATTACCATGCTGTTTTGGTTACTGCAGCACTGTAGTATAGTTTGAAGTCAGGTTGTGTGATGACTCCAGCTTTGTTCTTTTGGCTTAGGATTTTCTTGGCAATATGGGCTCTTTTTTGGTTCTATATGAACTTTAAAGTAGTTTTTTCCAATTCTGTGAAGAAAGTCGTTGGTAGCTTGATGGAGATGGCATTGAATCTATAAATTACCATGGGCAGTATGGCCATTTTCATGATATTGATTCTTCCTATCAATGAATGAGCATGGAATGTTCTTCCATTTGTTTGTGTCCTCTTTTATTTTGTTGAGCAGTGGTCTGTAGTTCTCCTTGAAGAAGTCCTTCACATCCATTGTAAGTTGGATTCCTAGTTATTTTATTGTCTTTGAAGCAATTGTGAATGGGAGTTCACTCATGATTTGGCTCTCTGTTTGTCTGTTATTGGTGTATAGGAATGCTTGTGATTTTTGTACATTGATTTTGTATCCTGAGACTTTGCTGAAGTTGCTTATCAGCTTAAGGAGATTTTTGGCTGAGACGATGGGGTTTTCTAGATATCAAATCATGTCATCTGCAAACAGGGACAATTTGACTTCCTCCTTTCCTAATTGAATACCCTTTATTTCTTTCTCCTGCCTGATTGCCCTGGCCAGAACTTACAACACTATGTTGAATAGGAGTGGGGAGAGAGGGTGTCCCTGTCTTGTGCCAGTTTTCCAAAGGAATGCTTCCAGTTTTTGCCCATTCAGTATGATATTGGCTGTGGGTTTGTCATAAATAGCTCTTATTATTTTGATATATGTCCCATCAATACCTAATTTATTGAGAGTTTTCAGCATGAAGGCTGTTGAATTTTGTCAAAGGACTTTTCTGCATCTATTGAGATAATCATGTTGTTTTTGTGTTTGGTTCTGTTTATATACTGGATTATGTTTATTGATTTACATATGTTGAACCGGCCTTGCATCACAGGGATAAAGCCCACTTGATCATGGTGGATAAGCTTTTTGATGTGCTGCTGGATTTGGTTTGCCAGTATTTTATTGAGGAGTTTTGCATCGATGTTCATCAGGGATATTGGTCTAAAATTCTCTTTTGTTGTTGTGTCTCTGCCAGGCTTTGATATCAGGATGATGCTGGCCTCATAAAATGAGTTAGGGAGGATTCCCTCTTTTTCTATCTATTGGAATAGTTTCAGAAGGAATGGTACCTGCTCCTCCTTGTACCTCTGGTAGAATTTGGCCGTGAATCTGTCTGGTCCTGGACTGTTTTTGGTTGGTAAGCTATTAATTATTGCCTCAATTTCAGAGCCTGTTACTGGTGTATTCAGAGATTCAACTTCTTCCTGGTTTAGTCTTGGGAGGGTGTATGTGTCCAGGAATTTATCCATTTCTTCTAGATTTTCTAGTTTATTTGCATAGAGGTGTTTATAGTATTCTCTGATGGTAGTTTGTATTTCTGTGAGATCGCTGGTGATATCCCCTTTATCATTTTTTATTGTATCTGTTTGATTCTTCTCTCTTTTCTTCTTTATTAGTCTTGCTAACAGCCTATCTATTTTGTTGATCTTTTCAAAAAGCCAGCTCCTGGATTCATTGATTTTTTGAAGGGTTGTTTTCTGTGTCTCTATCTCCTTCAGTTCTGCTCTGATCTTAGTTATTTCTTACCTTCTGCTAGCTTTTCAATGTGTTTGCTCTTGCTTCTCTAATTCTTTTAATTGTGTTGTTAGGGTGTGAATTTTAGATCTTTCCTGCTTTCTCTTGTGGGCACATAGTGCTATAAATTTCCCTCTACACACTGCTTTAAATGTGTCCCCGAGATTCTGGTATGTTGTGTCTTTGTTCTCATTGCTTTCAAAGAACATCTTTATTTTTTCCTTCATTTTGTTATTTACCCAGTAGTCACTCGGGAGCAGGTTGTTCAGTTTCCATGTAGTTGAGTGGTTTTGAGTGAGTTTCTTAATCCTGAGTTCTAGTTTGATTGCACTGTGGTCTGAGAGACAGTTTGTTATAATTTCTGTTCTTTTACATTTGCTGAGTAGTGCTTTACTTCCAACTATGTGGTCAATTTTGGAATAAGTGTGATATGGTGCTGAGAAGAATGTATATTCTGTTGATTTGGGGTGGAGAGTTCTGTAGATGTCTATTAGGTCAACTTGGTGCAGGGATGAGTTCAATTCCTGGATATCCTTGTTAACTTTCTGTCTCACTTATCTTTCTAATGTTGACAGTGGGGTGTTAAAGTCTCCCATTATTATTGTGTGGGAGTCTAAGTCTCTTTGTAGATCTCCAAGGACTTGCTTTATGAATCTGGGTGCTCCTGTATTGGGTTCATATATATTTAGGATAGTTAGCTCTTCTTGTTGAATTGATCCCTTTACCATTATGTAATGGCCTTCTTTGTCTCTTTTGATCTTTGTTGGTTCAATGTCTGTTTTATCAGAGACTAGGATTGCAACCCCTGCCTTTTTTTGTTTTCCATTTGCTTGGTAGATCTTGGTCCATCCATTTATTTTAAGCCTATGTGTTTCTCTGCATGTGAGATGGGTCTCCTGAATACAGCACACTGATGGGTCTTGACTCTTTATCCAATTTGCTAGTCTGTGTCTTTTAATTGGAGCACTTAGCCCATTTACATTGAAGGTTAATATTGTTATGTGTGAATTTGATCCTGTCATTATGATGTTAGCTGGCTATTTTGCTCATTAGTTGATGCAGTTTCTTCCTAGCATCCATAGTCTTTACAATTTGGCATGTTTTTGCAGTGGCTGGTACTGGTTGTTCCTTTCCATGTTTAGTGCTTCCTTTAGGAGCTCTTGTAGGGCAGGCCTGGTGGTGACAAAATCTCTCAGCATTTGCTTGTCTGTAAAAGATTTTATTTCTCCTTCACTTATGAAGCTTATTTTGGCTGGATATGAAATTGTGGGTTGAAAATTCTTTTCTTTAAGAATGTTGAATATTGGCCCCACTATCTTCTGGCTTGCAGAGTTTCTGCTGAGAGATCTGCTGTTAGTCCAATGGGCTTCCCTTTGTGGTTAGCCTGACCTCTCTCTCTGAATGCCCTTAACATTTTTTCCTTCATTTCAACTTTGGTGAATCTGACAGTTATGTGTCTTGGAGTTGCTCTTCTCTGGGAGTATCTTTGTGGCATTCTCTGTATTTCCTGAATTTGAATGTTGGTCTGCCTTGCTAGGTGGGGAAGTTCTCCTGGATAATATCCTGCAGAGTGTTTTCCAACTTGGTTCCATTCTCCCCGTCACTTTCAGGTACACCAATCAGACATAGATTTGGTCTTTTCACATAGTCCCATATTTCTTGGAGGTTTGTTCATTTATTTTTACTCTTTTTTCTCTAAACTTCTCTTCTTGCTTCATTTCATTCATTTGATCTTCAATCACTGATACCTTTTCTTCCAGTTGATCAAATCAGCTACTGAAGCTTTTTCATTTGTCACATAGTTCTCATGCTGTGGTTTTCAGCTTCATGAGGTCATTTAAGGACTTCTGTACACTGCTTATTCTAGTTAGCCATTCATCTAATCTTTTTTCAAGGTTTTTACCTTCTTTGTGATGGGTTCAAACTTCCTTCTTTAGCTCGGAGAACTTTCATCACCTGAAGCCTTCTTCTCTCAACTCATCAAAGTCATTCTCCATCCAACTTTGTTCCATTGATGGTGAGGAGCTGCATTCCTTTGGAGGGGGAGAAGCGCTCTGATTTTTAGAATTTTCAGCTTTTCTGTTCTGTTTTTTTCCCCATCTTTGTGGTTTTATCTACCTTTGGTCTTTGATGATGGTGACATACAGATGGGGTTTTGTTTGGATGTTTTTCTGTTTGTTAGTTTTCCTTCTAACAGTTAGGACCCTCAGCTGCAGGTCTGTTGGAGTTTGCTGGAGGTCCACTCCAGACCCTTTTTGCCTGGGTATCAGCAGCAGAGGCTGCAGAACAGCGAATATTGCTGATCAGCAAATGCCTGATTGTTCCTTTGGAAGTTTCATCTCAGAGGGTTACCCGGCCTTATGAGGTGTCAGTCTGCTCCCACTGTGTGGTGCCTCCCAGTTAGGCTACTCGGGGATCAGGGACCCACTTGAGGAGGCAGTCTGTCCATTCTCAGATCTCAAACTCCATGCTGGGAGAACCACTACTCTCTTCAAAGCTGTCAGACAGGGACATTTAAGTCTGCAGAGGTTTCTGCTGCCTTTTATTCAGGTATGCCCTGCCCTCAGAGGTGGGGTCTACAGAGGCATGCAGGCCTCCTTGAGCTGTAGTGGGCTCCACCCAGTTCGAGCTTCCCAACCACTTTGTTTACCTACTCAAGCCTCAGCAATGGTGGGCGCCCCTTCCCCAGCCTCACTGCCACCTTGCAGTTTGATCTCGGACTGCTGTGCTAGCAATGAGTGAGGCTCTGTGGATGTGGGACCCTCTGAGCAAGGCGTGGGATATAATCTCCTGGTGTGCCATTTGCTAAGACCATTGGAAAAGCACAGTATTAGCATGGGAGTGACCCAGTTTTCCAGGTGCTGTCTGTCACAGCTTCGCTTGGCTAGGAAAGGGAATTCCCTGACCCCTTGCACTTCCCAGGTGAGGCAATGCCTTGCCCTGCTTCGGCTCACTCTTGGTGCACTGCACCCACTGTCCTGCACCCACTGTCCAACAAGCCCCAGTGAGATGAACTTGGTACCTCAGTTGGAAATGCAGAAATCACCTGTCTTCTGCATCACTCATGCTGGGAGTTGTAGACTGGAGCTTTTCCTATTCTTCCATCTTGGAACTGCCCCCTCAAGTCACTTTTTATAAGAAATCTACTCTTCTAAGAAATGTTGATACCTGTAAACTCTTCCATAACTGCATTTACAGCAGTTTTCTATTGCAACCCTCTAGGTCTTTGGTTATTTTAATTTTAATTTGTTTTTAATTCTTATTTTGCTTGTTCATTTGTTTTTGCCTGAGTTCCATGTATGTGCTCATGCACAAGTGTGTGTATATATATTTTCTCCAGTAAAGACAAGTACACTCAACTTAGAATTTATGAGCCAAACATATTTTCCTTTGAAAATATAAATATCATAGTTTGAAAATTGTCATCAGATAAATAACAATTAAAGTAATGTGGGCTGATGATATGCTTCAGGAAATTGTATTAAGAAAAGAAAAGTGATCCTAGGGCTCAGTACCAAAAAACAGCACTTAAAAACAAAAGATGCAAAGGAGCAACACCTAACATTAGGCTGAGAAGAGATTTTTGCTTTCATATTATGTCTTATTTTTTCTAACTTACTTAACTTGTGACCAAGATGGACCTTAAAGCTGCTCTCAGCTTAAGTAAACTTCAGACCTGCTTCTTTCTGATTCCAGGCCCTGATCTCCTGGCAACTTTTTTTAGAGCATTTACTTTAGAAAACTTGCAATCAGTTTGTTTCTCTTCCCTTTTGTGATGTAAATCTTTTTAAAAGCCTCCGTTAGGCTTACAATGCAGAACTGACTTTTCCAGGACCTGGGAGCCATTCTTTTGAAATATAATTGTCAAGGAAGATACAGCCCCTTTCTCCCTCTCTCTGTGGGACAGTAGGAGCCTAAGTTTAGTGGATGTCTTCCTAGAAGTTATAAAACTATCTCCTCTCAAGAAAGTGTACTTTTCCTTTGAGCAATGCCAATTAGCAAACACAGATATCCTAAGATTCCTTAACCCAGCTCTTAAATCTGTCCTGCTTTTTGTTTCAGCAAAGTTGAGCTCAGATTAACCTCTCTATACTCTTACAGTAGGCTTAGTCTCCCTTACCTGTTTAACATTGCATGGTGCAGTTTTTGCTTTGACAACTGTGTCTACCATAATCTTTTGGTCCATTGAGTCAGCCTGGCCCCTTGATGTCAAGTTTGATGGTGTTTTCAAATTCTGCTGACTCATAGCAAATGAAAGAATACAAATGGAAAATTTTTTGGTAAGTTTTAAGACCTCTTTAGCTTTCATTCCTTTTTTTAGGGGGTGGGGGGGACTTGTGTTTAGCCTTCCTTGCTACAAGGCCAGGTTTTCCTTGTGAGAAGTATATTGTGTGCCAACATTTTGTTCTTCTCTTCATTCTGATTACTTTTGCACTTAAATTGCCAAATTCCTCAAAGTTTCTGGCTTATCCTCAATTCAGGCTTCCAATCCAGTGAATTACTCTCAGCAGTGAAAAATTATGAATCAAATGTATTTTCAAGATGTCACAATTTTTCTGGAATTCATCCTGGGCACCCAAAAAACCACTCCAAGAGCAAATAGAAATAGTAGACACACTTACAACTTATGCCTCCTTAAGTAGCTTACTGTATTTTTTTCTTTAAAATCAGTCATAACTTTTTACCTCCACTCCACCTCAACTTTATGGCTCAGTATTTTATAACTGTATAGCTTTTCTCTGGGCAAACTTTTCTACACATAGCTTCCTTGACTAATGTGTTATAAATGGTGTACTGTTGTACTCAAGCTGTTCTTACTCTCCTAGGTAGTATGGAGGACAGTGCAGAGACTGACTTTCCATTCCAGTGACATCACCATCATCCACATGTTTGATTGGGCAAAATCTTCAAGGTCTGTAGGCATATACTTTTGCAACTTATAGGAGCCATGTTTTAGCAGTTCTCTTTCTTAGCTATATGGATAAATATTTAACCAGTTTGTTAAGTCATTTAAAAATCTGGATGATGGCTGGAAGGTCAATATAGTTAGTGACCTTCTTTTGATATATCTAGAAGTTCTAATTTAACAGACTGAAGAATCCTTGAGAAAAATAATTATGAATTAACCATTATGTTGTGAACATGGGTTCTAATTATGTTTGTACATGGATCCTTGCTTTATCAATATTTTTTGTTAAAATAAACAAATTAATCTCTTTAAGCCTTCTGTTTCCTCACATTTGAAAATGGGAATCATTATGATTACCCCTGGATTCTTATAAAAACTCAATGACATAATGAGTTGATGTGACCAGTAAAGGTCTTAGAAATTGTTGTGCAATCAATAAAAAGCTACCAAGAGTTTGATTGTAATGATATTCATGATGAAGAAATAGGAGAAGAGGATTTGTAGAATTTTAGGTTCTCATCTTTTCTAAAAAAAAAGTTTCCTTAATTTTAGATTGTAATTAAAATATTTATAATGGAATATATAGTCAGAAAAAATGACACATTTTCTTTTCTTATTTGTTTCTCAATATTATTTTTGATAAACAAGTTGTATACATTTAGGGGTATGATGCAATGTTTTGATATAGGTATACAACGTGGACTAATTAAATCAAGCTAATTAGCACATCCATCACTTTATTTACCTATCATTTTTATGGCAAGACTTCTGAAATTTACTTTTTTTGTTATTTTGAAATGTACAGTCCATTATTATTGACTGTAGTTACCCCAATGCTCAATAGATCTCGATTTATTTTTCATATCTATCTGAAACTTAGTTCCTTTTGATTAACATCTCCCCATTTCCTCTCCCTACTCTTCCCGCAGCTCCTGGTAGCCATTATCCTATTCTCTACTTCTATGAGTTCAATGTACTTTAGATTCCACATATAAGTGAGACCATGCAATATTTGTCTTTTTGTGCATGGCTTATCTCACTTGGTGCAATGTCCTCCAGATTCATTCATGTCATCACAAATGACAGGATTTCCTTCTTTTTAAAAGTTGAATAATGTTTTATTGTATATATTTACCATATTCCCTTTATCTATTCATGCTTTGATAGACACTTAAGTTAATTCCATATCTCGACCATTATGAATAATGCTACAAAAAACATGAGAATGCAGACATCACTTTGACTGTTGATTTCAGTTCCTTTGGAAATATACTCAGAAGTGGGATTACTGAATCCCATGGCAGTTCTAATTTTAGTTTCTTGGAAAACTACCACACTGTTTTTCATAATGGCTGTACTAATGTCCATTCTCACCAAAAAAGTACAGGAGTTCTCTTTTCTCTGATTTCTTGCCAACCCTTATCTTTCCATGTTTTTGATAATAGCAATTCTGACAGATGTGAAGTAATAACTTGTTGTTTTAATTTGCATTACCCTAATGATTAGTAATGTGGAACATATTTTCATGTACCTTTTGGTCATTTGTATGTCTTCTTTGGAAATATATTTTATAGGTTCTTTGCCAATTTTTAAATTAAGTGACTTGTTTTAATGCTATTGAGTTGGTTTGAGTTCTTTGTATAGATGTTCCTTCCCTTATAATGATTCAACTTTCAATTTTTTGTCGTTACAATGGGTTTATCAGGATAGACTNCCCATCATAATGTGAGGAATATCTAGACATCTCTTCAACTTATAATTTTGACTGTACAATGAGTTTATTGAGGTGTTAAATGTATTTTTATTTGTTATATTTTTAGATTGGGATGGGTTTATTGGGTTGTAATCCCATCATAATCAAGGATCATCCATATATTTGGTGTATTAACCGCCTGTCAAATGTATGGCTTGCAAGTATTTTCTTGTATTCTCTGTGTTGTCACAACACCTTATTAGTTTTATTCTTTCTCTGTGGAAACTTTTTAGTTTGAAATAAATTCATTTTTTTCGTTTTTTCTTTTG
This sequence comes from Homo sapiens, assembly GCF_000001405.40. NCBI lineage: Eukaryota > Metazoa > Chordata > Mammalia > Primates > Hominidae > Homo > Homo sapiens. The sequence continues at coordinate 115,218,270 of NC_000006.12, read as the reverse complement.
TTGCCTATGCTTTTGGGATCACATCCAAAATATCCTGTTGCTTAGACCAATGTCATGGAGATTTTGCTCTGTTTTCTCTAGTAGATTTACAGTTTCAGGTCTTATATTTAAGTCTACTCTATTTTAAATTGATTTTTTTATATGATGTGAGGCATGGGTCTAATTTTATTTGTTTCTGTTTGGTTATTCAGTTTTCCCATCACCATTTATGGAAGAGACTATCATTTCCCCATTGTGTGTTCTGGGCACATTCATCAAAAAATCAATTGGCCATATGTGTGGGTTTATTTCTGGGCTCCCTATTATGTTCCATTGATCAATGTATCTGTTTTTATGCAAATAAGCTGGTGTTTAATTAATTTAGCTTTGTAGCTGATTTTGAAATCAGGTAGTGTGATGCCTACAGCTTTGTTTTTTTGCTGTTTGTTTCTTTGTTTGCTCAGGATTGTTTTGGCTGTTTTGGGACTTTTATGGCTCCATACAAATACCAAAAAAAAGAATTTTTTTCTATTTTTTTGAAAAATCATATTGGAATTTTGAGAGGAATTGCACTGAATCTGTATATCACTTTGGGTAGTACAGACATTTTCACAATATTAATTCATGTTATAGCTTTATATTTATTTGTGTTTTCTTCAATCTCTTTCATCAGTATTTTACAATTTTCGGTACAATTTTAATCTCCTTGATTAATTTTAATTGATTTGTTGCTATTGTAAATAGGATCTTTTTTTAAAAAAAGTTTTTAGATAGTTTGTTATTAGTATATGGAAACGCTACAAGTTTTTTCCTGCTGATTTGTATCCTGCAGCTTTACTGAATTAATTTATCAATTCTAACAGTTTTGGTCAGTTATTAGGGTTTTCTCTATATAAGATCATATTGTCAGCAAATAGAGACAATTTAACTTCTTCCTTTCCTTTAAAGCTACTTTTTGTTTCTTTCTCTTGGCTAGTTGCTCTGGCTAGGACTTCCCAGTACCATGTTGAAAACAAGTGGTAGTGGGCATCCTTGTCCTGTTTCTCATCTTAGAAAAAAAGCTTTCAACTATTCACCATGGGCTTGTCATTTATGGCCTTTATTATATTGAGCTGCGTTCCTTCAATACCTGTTGAGTCTTGTATCAATCGTCTGTCAAGAGTTGCATTTTTCTTATTATAAAGATGTTAAATTTGCCAAATGCTTTTTTTCTTCTGAGGTAATCATATGATTTTTGTTCTTTATTTTATAGCATGATGTATCATATGTTGAGTCATCCTTGCATCCTACGGATAAAGCCCACTTGATTATGGTGAATGATTCATTTAATTTGTTCTTGAATTCCATTTGCCGATATTATGTTGAGGATTTTTGCGTTTGTGTTCATGAGGGATATTGGCTTGTACACTTTCTTTTCTTGTAGTGTTCTTGTCTGACTTTGGTATCAGGGTAGTGCTAACCTCAAAAAGTGACGCTGTGTTGCAATTTTTTTGAAAAATTTGAGAATACTTGATATTATTCAATTTTTTTTTTTTACAAGTCAGCAGTGAAGTTTTTTCAGTTCTGGGTTTTCTTTGATAGGAGTATCTTTATTACTGATAGAACCTCTTCTTATTCATCTCTTTACATTTTCTACATATTCGTGATTCAGTTCTGGTAGATTGTATGTGTCTAAGAATTTATCCATTTGTACTAGATTATCTAATTTGTTGGCAATAATTGTCATAGTAGTTTCTTATGATGTTTTGTATTTCTGTGGTTTCAGTAGCAATGTCTCCTCTTTCATTTCTGATCTTATTGATCTAAGTTTTCTCTCTTTTTTTCTAGTTAGTCTAGTTAAGGGTTTTTAAATTTTGCTTATCTTTTCAGAAACCAATTCTTAGTTTTGTTGATTTTTAAATTGCTTTTCTGTACTCTATTTATTTATGCTCTGAACTTTGTTATTTCATTTTTTTCTGCTAAATTTAAACTTAGTTTGTTCTTTTTTTTGGCTCCTTGAGGTGTAACATTAGATTGTTTATTTGATATCTTTTCTTTCTTTTGGTATAAGCATTTATCACTATAATTTTCCCTTCTAGGACTGCTTTTGCTACCTCATGAGTTTTTGTATGTTTGTTTCCATTTTCTCTTGCCTCAAGGCATTTACTCATTTTTTTGTAATATTTTTCTGTAATCTATTAATTGTTTAAGACTATGGTATTTAATTTCCACATATTTGTGTATTTTAAAAAATGTCTCCTGCTACTGATTTCTAGTTTCCTGCATTGGGATGCAAAAAATATTTGATACCATTCCAGTCCTCTCAAGGTTGTTAAGATTTGTTTTGTGCCCTAACATGTGATCTATCCTGGAGAACGTTTGTGTGCACTTCAGAACAATGTGTATTTTGCTGCTGTCGGGTGGAATGTTTTGTATATTTCTGTTAGGTCTACTTGGTCGAAGGTGTAATTCAAATCCAATGTTTCCGTATTGATTTTCTCTGTAGATAATTTGTCTATTGTTGAAATTGGGGAATTGAGGTAATCTACTATTATATATTAGGGTCTATCTTTCCCTTCAGATCATTTAATAATTGTTTCATGTATTTAGGTACTCCAATATGGTGCACATACTGTATTTAAGTGCTCCATATTGCTGTTGTGTTTACAATATATTTACAATTTTTATATATTCTTGGCGAATTAGCCAAGAATACATTTTTAAAATTCTATGTTTATGTAAATTATAGTTTTGAAAGACATCATTCCCTCAAATAAAGATAACTGGAAAACACTATTACTCAGATCTGACTAAATACTATTGCTAATGGCAAATTAATAAGGTAAGTAATAGTTTACCAGGAGTATTTATGTGTCCGTTATAACATATAAACCATTAAAAACCCTTCTGTGTGTTAAGAGTTATGTTGGACACAATGAATACATAAATTAATGCTCCAAGAGTCCATAGAGTAGATAAGAAGAAAAGTAAACAATTAAAATAGAAAACAGAAGCTGAAAGAGAGCACAATCATGAGAGAAGAGAGCCCTCTCTAAAGAAGACACAGGTGGTAATGACAGGGTCTTACATGTTTATAATGTATTAAAATATAAATTCCCTAATTTAAATATCATTAAAAGTAGCTATAAAATAGGCATACTATTTCTAACTAACAAACTAAAGTGAGGCTTACATATGTTAATTTACTTGCCAAAGTTCTAATACATGGAAACATAGAGCTGCATCTCTAATGGAAGTTTTAGTACAAGTTTATATATTTCTTTGGTGTGGCTTCATAACAAATAATATGAAGCAATCAGACTAATTTAGGCTGCTTTTTGACCCACATTCTTTGACTTTACAAGATAGTTCTTATACTTTACTCAAGTTTTTTCCTTTTACCACAAAACTGTTTTGTTGGTTATTACCAAGGAATGACCTGTGTTGAATAATTATGATTTAAGGGTTCTGCTGAGACATTTTTGAATTTTACATTGCTAAAATCTGAACACCTACTTTTATAATCCACTCACCTTCATGTGGATTCTATTCTATTTTGCTACATATTGAAATAGACCACATTAAAAGGTTAAGAGTCTTCCCTGTTTCTTTGTGGTGGTCACTGATAAGGACACCTGTATTTCATATGGTCAATGAAAGCAGTAAATGAAGTTCAGTTCTGGAAAGGCCATCTCACTGATGATTTATGATATCTGGAAGCACGGAGTCCCTAATTTAGGTCAAAACATTAGTGAAATTTTTACCACTGTAACCAAAAATTTATTTTCTAATATTCTTTTTTAGCTTTGAAAGTCATTACAAAGATGCTTACTTGACAAAAAGTGGCAAGAGGACATCATTTTATATTTTAAGAGAAGATTAGGTTGCTAATTATCTTGAAGAGTAAAGAAAATAAGAAGAAAAAGAAAATCTAAGAAATTCTATTCAATATTTGTTTTATTCCACATTTATAAGAAATTATGAGTTTCATTATATTCAAGACATTATATGAATTTATATTTAAAAAACATACTGGTGTATCAATTCATTGAGTAGGCTTAGGGTTATATATTTTTAAAGGTGGTTTTAAATGTAGTAGTTCTTAATTTTTTTCAGACCCTGTAGCTTCTGAGAACTTAGTAAAAGCTATGAATTTCTTCTCCTTAAAACATACACATACATATAAAATTTTGCCTATAAATAGAAACATGATCCACAAAACCATCTGAATTCCTGACCATTGGGCTATGACAGATCTGAACATGTGCTATATAACAACTAGAGCTCCCCTCTCTAAATAATTTAGTTATTTCTGGTAGGCCCAACAACATTAACGACAATTATTGGACACATACAAATGTATCACAGGGCTGACTATAGGGCTTTGTAAACTGTTGCATTTTCTTATGTTCTCTCCATCTCTTTCTAAAAGTAAGGGAGAACACATTCAAAGGTCACCTTATGCTAGAAAAATAAAACACAAAACAATAATTCTCCCAAATATCCATTTTTGGCTGTTTCTTTGAATTTATTCGATGGCTTCATGATATTAGAATTAATTGCAGCTAACATGGAAAATATTAGTACTTCTAATTAGACAGCCTTTTATTCCAAGCTAGTATCTTTCAGTATGCCACTCCCCTAAAATGGGGCCTTTCCTTTCATGTTTATACAGGTAGTTGTGGTTGAGAAGGTAAAGAGCTAAATTATATGATACCAGCACATCTTTTACACAAACAAATTTGCAAATAGTTACATCTCCAAAAGACAAAATAGTCATTCACTTGACACAGACTTGTAATGATAATATTAGGCATGGTAAAATATCTGAATGAAATACCCAAGAAAGTCCAAAAGCTAAAAACAGGTTAATTGTAAGTGATAGCAACCTTGAGACTAGAATAACAAGACTGACAAACTTTGGCTGGATAATTGGATAGACAGAGAAATGGAAGAACGTCCTATATAAATATATCCCCCTTATTTTCTGTTTGATCAGATAGAGTGATTGCCTTTAGTAATCTCAAGGTATGTATGTAATTTGTCAAATACAAAATGTCTAAACAAATAGAGTTAATGTATTTACTTTGCGTTAGCTTTTATTCATTCAAAAATATTTGCTAAGAGCCTATAATATGCCAGGTATTATGATTAATAGAAGAGGTAGTGTAATAAATGACACATAGTTCCTGTCTCAATTAGCTTCAGGTGAAAGACAGGCAGGAATATGGAAAGTTTTAATATTATATGACAGGTTTTCTGCTGGAGAAAAGCCCAGATTTTAGAGGGGTTCATAGAAAATGAAATAACTCTGTCAAAAATAGGAGATTAAAAAGAGACTTTAAATATTATTAGAAAATAATGTATGAGAATGATGGAGATAAGAATCAAAGAAGAAAGGGTGTTCCAGGCAGAGAGAAAAGGATATGAAAACCTCTGGAGACAAAAAAAGGTATACAAGGTTCTTGAAATGCTGAAGCTTATAATTCAATATAACTGTATTAGTTTTCTATTGCTGATGTGACTAATTGCCACAAACTTAGTGACTTAAAAAACACAATTTTTAAAAATTGTTATTTTATTTTAGATTCAGGGGGCACATGTACAAGTTTGTTACATGGGTATATTGAGTGATGCTAAGGTTTCAGATTCTAGTAAACCCATTACTGAAATAGTGAACATAGTACTCAATAGGTAGTTTATTTAACCCTTGTACTCCTCCATCTTCCCCACTATTGGAGTCACCAGTGTCTATATTTTTCATCCTTTTATCCATGTGTATCCATTGTTTTGCTCCCACTTATAGTTGAGACCATGCAGAAGTTGATTTTCTTTCTCTGAATTAATTCACTTGTGATAATGGCCTCCAGCTACATCCATGTTGCTGCAAAGGACATTATTTCATTCCTTTTCATGGCTGCATAGTATTCCATGGTGTATGTATATGACATTTTCTTTATCCAATCTACCATTGATGAGCACCTGGGTTGATTCCATGTCTTTGCTATTGTGAATGGTGCTGCAATAAACATATGAGTGCAGGTACCTTTTTAATAAAATGATTTATTTTCCTCTGAGTAGACACCCAGTAGTGGAGTTGCTAGGTCGAATAGCAGTTCCATTTTTAGTCATTTGAGAAATCTTCATACAGTTTTCTATAGAGGCTGAACTAATTTACGTTCCCACCAACAGTATGTAAGCTTTCCCTTTTCTCTGAATCTTTGCCAACATGTGTTTAATAATTTTGTAATAGCCATTCCAACTTTTGTGAGATGGTATCTCATTGTGGTTTTAATTTGCATTTATCTGATGGTAAGCGATTTTGAGCATTTTTCATGTTTGTTTTCTGTTGTAAGTTTTCTTTTGAGAGGTGTCTGTTTATGTCATTTGCCAATTTTTTAATAGGTGTATTTGCTTTTTATTCTTGTTGATTTGTTTAAGTTCCTTATATATTCTGGATATTAGTTCTTTGTAGGATGCATAGTTTGCAAATATTATCTCCCATTTTGTAGGTTGTCTGTTTATTTTGTTGATTGTTTATTTTGCTGTGAAGAATCTCTTTACTCCCATTTGTCCATTTTTTTCTTGCAATTGCTTTGGAGGTCCTAGTGATAAATTATTTGCTTACATCAACACCTAGAAGAGTTTTTCCTAGACTTTCTTCTAGAGTTTTTATAGTTTTATGTCCTACATTTAACTCTTTAATCAACCTCGAGTTAACTTTTGTATATGGTGTGAGGTAGGGGTCCAGTTTTACTCTTCTGCAAATGGCTAGCCAGTTTTCCCAGCACCAGTTGTTGAATAGAATGTCCTTTCTCCACTGTTTATTTTTGTCATCTTTGTCAAAGATCAATTGATTGCACATGCAACAATACAAATTTATTATCACACAGTTTGCAGGTCAGAACCCTGGCACAGTTCTCTTGGGATTAAAATCAAAATGGCAGTAGGGCTGCACTAGAGGCTTTGTTGAGAATCAGCTTCCAGGCTTTTGTAAGTTGTTGACAGAATTCAATTTCTTGATATTGTACTAATGTACAATCAGTACTAAAGGATCCATTTCTTTGTTGGCCGTCAGTTCAAGGTCACTTCCACCCTCCAGGGCCTACTTGTATTCCATGCCTCAAAGCCCATTAATCTTCAAAGCAAGAGAGATGAGGTGGGGTCAAGTCCTTCTCCCACTTCGTCTTTCTTGCCTTCTTTCTGCCTTATCTCTCTGACTTCAAAGAGTAAAGTGTCTCTGCATTGAAAAGCTCATATAAATAGATTGTACCCATCTAAATAATATAAGATATTATCTCTATCTCAAAGTTGGTAAACTTAATCATATCTGTAAAGTCCCTTTTGCCATGTAATACAACATATTCACAGGTTCTGGGGATTACAGTATGGACAACTTTGCAGGGGGAGGGCATTATTAGCCTATTACAATGGGTAAGTGTAAAGATATGACACTCAAGATGTAAAGAGAGAAAAGATAATAATAAGTCTTATATGGCAGGCTGAGAAGCAAGACTTAATCTATGTATGATTCTGAAGGCAATGAGATAACACTACATAATTTTTAAGAAGATTAAAAAAATAATCAGAGATCCATTTCAAAATGATCATGTTGGCTTCAGTATTGAGACTGGACAGAAGAAAGACAGCATCTGAAATAGTAATATTATTTAGAAGACTTGAACTGTCTAGACAAGACTTAAAATGTGCTTGACTAATAAAAGGCAGAATTATTAGAGAAAAATAGAGCTATAAGATATAAAAGGAACAGAAAAAAATCAAAGTCAGTGATTGATTGTGTTTGGGAATGTGGAGGAAAAAATAATGGTGAATTTTTAATTTAGACTTTGGCTAGTGTGGTAAATATTATAATTAATCACTGATGCAAGAAATACACAGGAACATGTTTAGAAGCAAATAATTATTTTGTACATCTTTAGATTAAGGTGCGTATGAATAATTCAATGTAGATACCCAGCAGGTAATTGGATAATCCAGTTCGGGCTCTCTGAAGAGTTATGAGCTAAAAATTTAGTTTAAGATGTATTCTTTCACTAAAGATATATGAATGCATGGGGTACCTAAGGGCATTTGGAATGTTGAGAATAATCATTCTACTTGGAATGATTATAGTCAAAGAGGGTTAAAGAGATGACCAGAAATGAATACGAAAGAAGTTGGGGACCAGGTGTAGTGGTTCACGCCTGTAATCCCAGCATTTTTGGAGGCTGAGGTGGACAGATCATGAGGTCAAGAGATGGAGACCATCCTGGCCAATATGGTGAAACCCATCTCTAATAAAAATACAAAAATTGGCTGGGCATGGTGGTGTGTGCCTGTAGTCCCAGCTACTCAGGAGCTGAGGCAGGAGAATCAATTGAACCTAGCAGGAGGAGGTTGCAGTGAACAGATAGTACCAGTGCACTCCAGCCTGGCGACAGAATGAGACACGGTCTCAAAAAAGAAAAGAAAACAAACAAACAAACAAAAAAAGCTGGGGATAAACCTAGTGAATCAGAAATCATGGGAGCCTAAAGGAAGTAGGTATACATATCAAATCATTTAAGTACTAATTTATCACCCTTCCATGTAGCAAAGGGTTTTTTTGAGCCAGCAGTTGCAATAAAATGACACGGGGAAAAAATGTGTAAGGCATTGAAGAGAGAATGTGAAATGAGAGTGGAGGCAGTTTAGTAAGCCAGTACCTGCAAATCCTGCAAAAGAACATTGCTTTCGGAGTGTGATTTTTTTGTTTGGGTGCTTTCGTTAGGTTGGTTTGTATTACCTATGTCAAATACATATGTTTTCTCCCTGTATTTTGTTATATCTAGCTTTAAATATACAAAAGAGAATTTTACAGTAAAAGTCCATACACCCCACACTAAAACATGTTGTTATTATTTAATTAATATTTTATTTCACCTCTATTACCACATCCATATACACATACAACCGCCTATCCATTCATTAATTCAATATTTTTTATGTTTTTTACAGCAATTTGCATGGCATTGGTACATTTCCCCCCAAATACTTCAGCATGAATATAATTAAAAGAACAAATATTTACTTATGGTTCTTTTAATTGTTTAGATAAAATTTACATAAAATAAAACGTAAAAATATTTTAAATATGCCTTGCATTGAGTAGTGATAAATGCACATAGATATGCAACTAAAATCTCTATCAAGATAAAGAGCATTATCATCAACACAAAAAACTCCTTCTTACTACTTCACAATTCCTCCCTAAGGCAGTGTATATACCTTAGGGGGAGATTGTGAAGTAGTAAGAAGGAACATTAGTTTTATCTCTTCTAGAATTCATACAAATAGTAGTTTGCATTATGAAATTCTTGTAAAGACTTCTTTCACTCAGCCTATAGTTTTAGAGATTTATCCCAGTTATTGCATATACATCCATTTCTTTTTATTATTATCCATTGAATGAATATACCACAATGTGTTTGATGAATAACCAGAATGTTTCTAGCTTCTGTCACTTATGAATGAATAAAGGTGCTGTCTACATTGTTAAAAGAATTTCTTTGGGCACAAATCTCATGATTTTAATTTGCATTTCTCTGATGACTAATTATATTGAATGGTTTTTTGTGTATTTACTGGCCTAACACATTTTTTTTTCTTTTTTTTAGAGACAGGGTCTCTCTCTGTTGCCCATGCTGGAGGGCAGTGGCATAATCATGGCTCATTGCAGCCTCAAACTCCTTTTCTCATGGAATCCTACTGCTTCAGCCTCCCAAAGTGCTGATATTATAGGTACTTTATGTGATATGTGTGATACATCTACTATACCTGGCCCTATCACATATATTCCTTTATGAAATATCTGTTCAAATGTTTACCCATTTTAAATTTGGTTCTTCATATTTTTATTATTGACTTATAAGACTTAAGTATCCTGGATATTAGTTCATTGTTAAATATATATTTTGCAAATATTTTCTGCCAGTTTGTGGCTATTTACTTTTCTTAGTTATCTATTTTTATGAATAGGAATTATTGATTTTTATTTTCATCTTTTTTGCTCTTTTATGCTTATTGCTTTCTGTGTTTAAGAAACATCTGGAAGCCTGTAATCCCCGCACTTTGGGAGGCTGACATGGGCGGATCACAAGGTCAAGAGATCGAGACCATCCTTGCTAATATGTTGAAACCCCATCGCTACTAAGAATACAAAAATTAGCTGGATGTGGTGGAATGCGTCTGTAATCCCAGCTACTCGTGAGGCTGAGGCAGGAGAATAGCTTGAACCCGGGAGGCAGAGGTTGCAGTGAGCCGAGATTGTGCCACTGCACTCCAGCCTGGCGACAGAGCGAGACTGTCTCAAAAAAAAAAAGAAAAAAAAAAAAAAGAAATATCTGTATATCCCTTGGTGTGACGATATTCTCCTGTGATATTTTTTCTTAAAAACTTAATAATTATAGCTTCTGTCTTTTGGTCTATGATTAATCTCAATTTAATATTTGTGTATGAAATGAGGTGGTGGTCAATTATCATTGTTTTCTCTATCGATATCTGCTTGTTTTCTAGCAGCATTTGGTAAACGGACATTCCTCTCCATTGGATTTCTTTGCAAGCTTTTTTAAACATCAAATCAGTGTACCCATGAGTGACTAATTCTGCAATTTCTAGACTACTATGTTCCATTGATATGTTTATTTATCCTTTGAAAGTAGCATACTGTCTTTTTTACACAAGTCTTAAAGTCAGATAGCAGGAGTCCTCAAACTATTGTTTTTCATGACTGCTTTGGAAATAAACCATTTGCATTTCTGTATGAATATTAGACTCAGATTGTGAATTCATAAAGAAAAAAGCCTACTATGGTTATAATCACAAAACTTTAAATTTATAGATCAGTGTGGGGAGAACTGATATTAACAATGCACAGATTTTCAATTGATAAATAGGATGCATCTTCCTATTTAGATCTTCCTTATTTTTTCTCAACAAATTTTGCAGTTTTTCAGCATAGTCTTTAATATCACAAATTAATTTTTTGACACTTTTGAAAATTAAATATTGAAACATTTTTATTTCCAAGTTCTGTGTTAAAATATATTAAATAAAATTAATCTTAGCTTATTAGACTTTTATTCTGTTAACTTCATAAATTAGTGTATTAATTCTAGTGGTTACAAACACCTTATACATTTTACATAAATAATCTTGAAATCTACCAATAGAGATCTTCTTAAATTTTTCTTCTCAATCTTTCCGATTCTAATATCTGCTTCTTGCCTTATTTATTTATTTATTTATTTTTTGAGACAGAGTCTCACTCTGTCACCCAGGCTGGAGTGCAGTGACGCAACCTCTGCTCACTGTAAGCTCCGCCTCCTGGGTTCACACCCTTCTCCTGCCTCAGCCTCCCAAGTAGCTGGAACCACAGGCACCCACCACCATGCCCAGCTAATTTTTTGTATTTTTAGTAGACTCGGGGTTTCACCGTGTTAGCCAGGATGGTCTCGATCTCCTGACCTTGTGATCCGCCCGCCTCGGCCTCCCAAAGTGCTGGGATTACAGGCATGAGCCACCGCGCCTGGCCTGTTTCTTGCCTTATTACAACATTTAGGCAAACTCTAGTATCATGTTAGTTAGAATTGTTAAGAGTGAGCTTCTTGGCCTTGTTCCAGATCTTTGAGGAAAAGCCTACCCTATTTCATCCCTAAGTACAATTATAGCTGTAGGATTTTTGACAATGACTTTTTTACATTAAGGAAATTTCTTGGATTCCTTGTTCACAAGAATTTTACTTTTGAATCTATTAAAATAATGAGTACTTTCTTACTATATTGAATTAAATTTTATTTTATGGATATGATATAATTTGTTTATTCATTCACCTTTTGATAGACATTTGACTTGTTTCCATTTTGGGGCCACTGCAAGTAAAGCTGTTACGAACATTCATGTTACAAACCTTTGTGTGGACATATGCTTTCATTTCTCTTGGGTGAATACCTAAGAGTGTAATGACAGTCTAATGCATACCCAGGTCATGAATTCAGGCACTTCATCTGTAATGTAGAAATCCTGCAATTTTGTAGTTCATTTAATTCCCCTACCCTTTACACTACGGTTGTCATATACATTATAAGAACATATAATCCCCAAAGGATTATAAGTTTTGCTTTAAATCAGCCAAAAAAGTAGACTGGGAGGACAAATTGTCCTTAATTTTACCAAGATACTAGCCATTTTCAATGCTCTTTCATTCCTTTGTGAGGGTCAAGGCTTTTAGAATTTGTGATAATGCAGATCGGTCTTTGGTGAAAATTCTTAGATTTTTAATCCAAAAATATATTTATTTTGCTGCTATTTTAAGGTTATTTTCCCTTGATAGAAAATGCTAGGTAAAATGTTTATTGTTGTTGTTTTTGTTTTCCCCTAGCACCATCAGGATATTGCCTCACTGTCTTCTGTCCTTCATTCCTTCTGAGGAGAAGTCAGCTGTATTCAAGTTGTTTCCACTTAAGTGAGTTTTATCAGATTAGTTTAAAGATATTTGCTTTATCTTTGGTAGTTAGCACTTTGAAATGACTATCATACTTGTGATTTTCTTTGTATTTGTTTTGCTTTGGGCTTGATGATCTTATTGAATTAGTACATCTACATGTTTCAGAAATTAGTAAAATTGTCAGACATTATTTCTTCAAATTTTTTTTTCTGTCCCACATCCTATATTCTCTTTCTGGGACCCTACATATATATTTGACCTTTTAATATTCCACACATCTCCAATGCTCTATTAAATTTTTTTCAATTTTTTTTTACTTTAAATGTTACATAATTTCTGTTGATTGATTTTCTAGTTCATTTTTTCCTCTAGTATCTTTATTCTGCTATTAAGTCTGCTGAGTGACTTAAAAAGCAATTTCTGGTATTTTCTGTCAGTTTTTAAATTTGCATTTTAATAGTTCCTTTTTCATTTCTGAGATTTATTGTCTGTTTTACTCATTACAAAAAAAACTCCATTTTTTTTTCTTATCCCATTGAGCATGGTTATAATGGTCACCTTAAAATTCTTATCTGCTAGTGTTAACATCAGGGTCATTTGGCATTGGTCTTCATTGATTTTTTTTTTTTTGAGGATCATTTATGATTTCCAGTTTCTTGTATTTTTAAGTAATTTTTGATTGTATCTTATATACTGTGAATGATGCATTTTAGCATCTACATTTTATTGTGTTCTGCCAAAGAATAATTGCTTCTTTTTTTTCCCTTAAAGAGGCAATTAATTTGGATGAGCTAAAATTGGAAACTGCCCCTGCCATCTGCAATGAACAGCACGTCAAATGTAAGTTCACTTTTTTTCCTCCTGCACACAGGTAGTTAAGAGAGTGAGGCAGAGCTTATGTACAGAATTTGGACTCCTCCTTCCTTGACCTCTTGTTTTTGAGATTCACATCTCAATTTCTAGTATCTACATTTGCAATGCAATCTGTCTTCAAGCTCTCTGTGCCAGTAAAATATAGGTTTTTATATCAAAGTTCCTACACTCTGTTGTCGCCTACCTGATTTACTCTGCCCTCTGGTCAAAAGCTGTAAAAAAAAAAAAAAGATCTAAAAATATGGAAGACTTCCCCTTTGCTCTTCCCTTCTTCTAAATGTTAATCTCCCTATATTCTTCAGTGCATGCAGGTAGTTGTTTTATGTATTTTATCCAGCGTTCATTATTTGTATGTACTTAAGAGTTGGTCTGATAGAAACTTAGTCATGACCTGAAGGGGAAACTCATTTGTTTCTTTTCTAGATGAAAAAATTGAGAACATTTTTTGATTTAAGAATGAGAATTAAGGATTGTGGAAAATAACCAGAAAGGGAGGTGATTTTTAAAATGCTAAAGAGAGAGAGAGAGAGTAGAAGAGGAAACTGATGAAACCTGGTCACTAAAGGAGAAAGTCAATAAGACATCTAGGGAACTTACAGAGTTATTAGCACTAGACAAGAGGAAACAAATGGTGAAAAGTGGAAAGGAGAGATTCTTCAAGAAGATAAAGTTTGCAGGTGTTTTGAAATAGATGTAGAGTATTTTCATTATATTCCTTCTGTTATCTAAAACAATAAAAATATAAGTTTTATTTGTGGTGTAGTAATTTTGGCAATATTATGGAGTGCCTCCCATTAAGAACAAAAGACATTTAAAAATATCCATTAACTCATAGCCTTGTTTCCAGCTCTCCAAATGAACTATTTCACAGCTTCTCACACCTGTGCTTGGCTTCAGATTGGGATGGCACTTGTGTGAGGTGTTTTCTTCTACCTGGAAGACTCAGGCACTTCAAATTCAACATTTTGGCTCACAAACTGGCTCCTAACAAGCAAATTAATATGTATTCTAATATATGTAACACAAACATAATGCACATATTTTTTAAATCGAATTTTCTTAAATATTTTCCCAACTAATACAAAACATTTTCAATTTTTACAAGAGAATCTTGTAAAACTTGCCCCATAGACATACTTACGTATATATATATGATTATTATAGAATTTATTATATATGTATATAAAGAATGAATAAAAGAAAAAAGTAAAATAAAACAACCATTAATTATTAATATGTAAAATCCCCAGAAGACCTTCACTCTGTTGAAGAAAGTCTTCTGAACAGATTTTCAGACATAAACTCCCTTCACAGCACAACTGGGGACGAATTTCATGTCTTTGACAGATGGATGAGAAAGCGTGCCAAAAACAGAGTCATTTTCCGGGTCTAAAAGAGGCCAGCCAAGCTATTGTTGATGGCAGCAGCAGGTGGGAAATATTGAAGTCTACAATGTCATAAAATGTGACAATATTTTGCTTGGTATTCTAACTCTAACTTATCTCAATGTTGCTGAGAAAAAGGCAGTAAAGTTGGGACTGAACAGGAGAAATAGCGTGGAAATCCTCATGCAATTTCTCAATGTTTGGAACTGTTTAATCTAAAGGTAATACTTTGGCTCAATAAGACCCCTGGTTGCAGGCTAAAACAGTGCTAAGGTCAAAGAGGCTATTGCCTCCCAGCAACAGTGGCAGCGTGGGGTGTTAAGAGTTGGGTTAACTGAAAGTAAGCTCACTCTTCCTAGTGTTATGGCTCAGTCCCAGATGAGCTAGACTCTTGGCTCAATAGCTTAGGTGCAACATATAAAAATGAGCACACCCTGTCTGAGGAATAAAACACAAAATATTACTATACCTGCATCATCATTGTTCTCCTATATAAAATATCCAATGCAATTCTTTAAAGCATAGAAACTACAAAGAAGCAAGTAATGTGATACACAATCAAGAATAAAATTAACAAGTTCAATCTCCAGATGATCCAGTTATTGGGACTAGCAGACAAGGACTTTAAAACAACTATTGCAAAAAGGTTTATAAATATGTAGGAAAAGGTGTAAAGAATTAGTAAACAAATGTGGACATCTCAGAAGAGATGAAAAATATAAAAAAGAATGAAGTAGTTCTGCTTCAAGAAAACTAAGTACAAATAAAATCCCTGCATGCAATATAGAGAAGAAAACAAACACAAGAAGGTTCTGAAAGGTAGAGGGAAGAGAGGCTGGCTAGGGACACAGTTGTTAATTCCCTTGGGTTTTCTTTTTTATCTTAGAGATCTCAGACATAGAGTTGAAGAAGTTGACAACTCAGAAATGTCAACAGGCACAAACTACAAAAGCTCTGACAAACCTGCTCTCTTTAATCAAAGGACCAGAAAGGGGCAGTGTAGCTTTGTATACAACTTTTAGTCTAAGATTAAAACACAATTTATTCCCCTCTCCCATGAAAGCAAAAGCCAGATGAAACCCTAGACTTCCACCATCACAAGGTTGTACTGAGATAGTCCAAAACCACTGTTGTGGTTATTTCAGAGAAGGCCAAGTAGGTAGCTGAGAATTCATCTCTGTTGTCCAGTAGTGAACCACCACCTCTCTATTCCTGAGCCCAGCTGGGCAGTAGAGACCACATGTGGAGCCTAGACTTCTGTCCCCACCCAGCAGTAACAAGGCACCTCTCTCCATTGGATAATATCAGAAAAGGTCTATACAAAGAGATTTATTAAAAAGCAGATCAAAAGCTTAACCCATAGGGAGGTGGAACAAAACAAAACAAAACAAAAATAAAGTGGTACAATTAAATCCTAAGATATCAGCACTTACATTAAGTGTATAAAGACAGAAATTGACAAAAATTAAAAATACAATGAACTATATGCTGTGTATAAGAAATTCACTTCAAATATAATGACATAGATAAGTTAAAAATATAGAATGGAAATATATATTATATATGCATATATAATATATAGAGTTTTTTATATATATAAAATATTAATCAAAAAAGGAAGATTAGTTATATTGATATCGAATAAAGAGACTTCAGAGCAAATAAATTTACTGTGGTCAGAAAGGGATTTTATATAATGAAAAAAGTAAATTTATCAAGACAAGGCAATCTTAAATGTATTTGTGCCAAACAACAGAGGTACAAAATATATTAAGCAAAAAGTGATAGATCTTTACCACAATTAATAAATTATAAAAATGATTAAAAGTAATAGAACTGAAAAGATAAATAGAGAAATCCATAATCATTGTTGGAGATGTCATTTCCCCCTCTTACCAATTGATAGAACAACTGAACAGAAAATTAACAAGGCCATAGAAGAACTCAAAACTATTGACCAAAAGGTCCAATCAACAGTTATAGAATACTCCACTAATCATTAGCAGAAAATACACTTTTTCAAGTAGTCATGGAACAGATACTGAAGTAGACAATATTGGGCCATAAATCAAAGCTCAACAAATTTAAAAGGAATGATATCATTGTATTCTCTGAACACAACGGGATCACACTAGGAATAAATATGGTTAACTTAAAAGGAAAATCTCTGAAGACTTGGAAACTAAAAAACACACTTCTAAATAATCCATGAATAAAAGAGAAAGTCTCAGAGCAAATAGCAACAAAAATATGTAAATAACCTAAATACCCATCAACAGAAAAATGGATGTACAACTTGTAGTACACTTATACAGTAGAATTCTACTCGGCAATAAAAAGAAATGGACTACTTGAACACTCAGCAACGGGAATTAATCTCAAAAGCATGCTGAGAAAAAGCATCTAGACACACATGAAAACATTAAAGAACAAACCAAACTAACCCAAGGAGATAGAAATCAGAACTGTGGCTCTATATCGGAGGTGAGAGATTGGCAGAAAAGGGATAGAAGGGGACTTTCTGAGGAGCTGGGGATGTACTATATCTTGATTGGTTGTGGGTTACACAGGTATGTATGTTTTTCAAAACTTATTAAACTTTTTTCTTAAAATCTCAGTATTTTACTATGTATAATCATACCACAATAAAAATACAGAAATTATTTTTATTTTTATTGATAGATAATAATTGTACATATTTATAGTATACATGTGATATTTTGATACATGCATACAATGTGTAGTTATAAAATCAGGGTAAAAAAGATACAGAAATTAAACAAAGCAAGATAATAATTCTGAACTTTAGCCCCTTTTCCCTGTTCTTATAAATTCCAACTCCAAATGCTGTTGAGCTATCCTCTGAAGTACCTTCAAAATCTATCAAATCCTCTTCACCTTGCTATCACTGCCCCAAACAAGAACTTCATTTGGACTGAGACAATCTTCATTGTTATCCCACTGCTCACAGTCCTGTTACTCTTAGACCATTCTTCCCAGAGTTCCTGAGTGATTAAAAGAAAAAAAGCTAATACCTCCCATAGACAAATTTTCAGTTCCTTAGCACAAATTTATGCCTTGATTTACTGTCTGCCAATTCAGCCACCACAATTCCAGCTGCTTCCTGGACTGAAGTTTATGTTTATTTCTTTGACTAATTTTGGCCACAGCATCTCAGCACTCATAATTCCACATTTGGCATCTGTAGGATTGCTCATGTCGTCTTCTATGATATAGTTTGGGTATTTGTCCCCTCTTAATCTCATGTTGAAATGTGATCCCCAGTGTTGGAGGTGGGGCCTATTGGGAGATATTAGATCATGGAGACAGATCCCTCATGAATGGCTTGGTGCCCTCCTCTTGGTGATGAGTGAGTTATCAGTTAGATCATGTGAGATTTGGTTGTTTAAAAGAGTATAAGACCTCCCCCTTCTCTCTTGCACCCTTTCTTGCCAGGTGATACACCAGCTCCCCACTTGCCTTCCATCATGATTGAAAGCTTCTTGAGCCCTTACCAGAAGCTGAGTAGATGCCAATGCCATGATTCCTGTACTGTCTACAGAACTGTGTGCCAATCAAACCTCTTTACTTTATAAATTACTCAGTTGCAGGTATTCCTTTATAGTGATGCAAAACAAACTAATGCATCCTCTGTCTAGAATGACCTTACCTCTTAATGTAGTGCTGTTACCTCTTCTTTCTTGTGAATAAGCTAGGTAGTCAACACCTCCTCCTCTCTGACAGCTCTTGGGAGACTATATTTGGATAGCCTTCTGATATACTTTGGCTCTGTGTCCCCACTCAAATCTTATCTTGAACTGTAATCTCCATTTGCCTAGGGAGGGACGTGGTGGGAGGTGATTGAATCATGGGGACAGTTTCCTCCATGCTGTTCTCATGATAGTGAGTGAATTCTCATGAGATCTGATGCTTTAAAAGTGTAGCACTTCTCCTTTCTCCCACTATCTCTCCTATCACCATGTAAGACATGCCTTGCTTCCCCTTTGCCTTCAGCTATGATTGGAAGTTTTCTGAGGCCTCCCCAGCCATGCGGTACTGTGAGTCAATTAAACCCCTTTTGTTTATAAATTACCCAGTCTCAAGTAGTTCTTTATAGCAGTTGAAAATGGACTAATACAGAAAATTGGTACCGGGAGAGTAGGGTACTGCTATAAAGATACCTGAAAATGTGGAAGCAACTTTGGAACTGGGAAACAGGCAGAGGTTGAAATAATCTGGAGGGCTCAGGAGAAGAAAGGAAGATGTGGGAAAGTTTGTTACTTCCTAGAGACTTGTTGAATGGTTTTGACCAAAATGCTGATAGTGATATGGACAATGAAGTCCAGGCTGAGGTGGTCTCAGACGGAGATGAGGAACTTACTGGGAACTAGAGTAAAGGTCACTCTTGCTATGGTTTAGCAAAGAGACTGGCAGCATTTTGCCCTTGCCTGAGAAATCTGTGAAACTTTGAAATTGAGAGAGATGATTTAGGGTATCTGGCAAAAGAAATTTCTAAGCAGCAAAGTGTTCAAGATGTTACCTGGCTTTTTCTGAGCGTATAGTCATATACATTCACAAAGAGATGGTCTGAAATTGGAGTTTATGTTTAAAAGAGAAGAAAAGCATAAA
Organism: Homo sapiens; assembly: GCF_000001405.40. Taxonomy (NCBI): domain Eukaryota; kingdom Metazoa; phylum Chordata; class Mammalia; order Primates; family Hominidae; genus Homo; species Homo sapiens. Next base: position 115,198,941 of record NC_000006.12, on the reverse strand, counting down.
AGTATGGAAAATTTGCAGCCTGACCATGTCATAGAAAAGAAAAACCCATTTTCTGTGGAGAAATTCAAGTTGGTTGCAGAAATTTGCCTAAGTAACCAGGAGCCAAATGTTAATCTCCAAGACAATGGGGACAAAATGTCTCCAGAGCATTTCAGAGATCTTTATGGCAGCCTCTCCCATCACAGGCCCAGAGGCCTAGGAAGGAAAAATGGTTTCCTGGGCAGGGCCCAGGGCCTTGCTACTTTGTGCAGTCTTGAGACTGGGTGCCTCGTGTCCAGGCCATGGCTTAAAGGGGCCAACATACAGCTCGGGCCATTGCTTCAAAGGGTGCAAGCCCTAAGCCTGGGCAACTTCCACGTGATGTTGGGCCTGAGGTATGCAGAGGGCAAAAATTGAGGTTTGGGAACCTTTGCATAGATTTCAGAGGACGTATAGAAACGGCTGGATGTCCAGGCAGAAGTTTGCTGCCGGGGCAGAGCTCTCATGGAAAACCTCTACTAGGGCAATGCAGAGGGGAAATGTGGGGTTGGAGCCTCCATACAGAGTTCCCACTGGGGCACTGCCTAGTGGAGTTGTGAGAAGAGGGCCACTACCTCCAGACCCCAAAATGGTAGCTCAACTGGCAGCTTGCACCATCCACTTGGAAAAGCCACAGGCACTCAACACCAGGCCATGAGAGCAGCCATTGGGGCTGTACTGTGCAGAACCACAGGAGTGGAGCTGCCCAAGACCTTGGGAGCCCACCTCTTGTGTCAATGTGCCCTGGGTATGAGACATGGAGTCAAAGGAGATTACTTTGGAGCTTTAAGATTTAATTACTGCCCTTTTGGGTTTCAGACTTGCATGGGGCCTGTAGCCCCTTTGTTTTGGTCAATTTCTCCCATTTGGAATGGGAACATTTACCCAATACTTTACCCCATTGTATCTTGGAAGTAACTAACTTGTTTTTGATTTTGCAGGCTCATAGGGAGAAATAACTTGCCTTGTCTTTGATGAAACTTTAGACTATGGACTTTTGAGTTAATGCTGGTATGAGTCAAGACTTTGCAGGACTATTGGGAAGACATGATTGTGTTTTGAAATGTGAGAAGGACATGAGATTTGGAAGGGGTCAAGGGTGGGATGATATGGTTTGGCTCTGTGTCGCCATTCAAATCTCATTGGAATTATAATCCCCATTTGTTGAGAAAGGAACCTGGTGGGAGGTGATTAGATTATGGAGGTGGTTTCTCCCATGCTGTTCAGAAGATAGTGAGTGAGTTTTCACAAGATCTAATGGTTTAAAAGTGTGGCATTACCCCCTTCTCTCGCTCTCTCTCCTGCTGCCATGTAAGACATGCCTTGCTTCCCCTTTGCCTTCTGCCATGATTGTAAGCTTCCTGAGACCTCCCTAGCCATGCAGAACTGTGAGTCTGTTAAATATCTTTTGTTTATATATTACCCAGTCTCAGGTAGTTCATCATAGCAGTGCAAAAACAGACTAATACACCATCTCTTCCGTATGCTTACACAGCATTTTGTATTTTACTGTATCACTGTACTTCTATCATTTATAATTGTTTTTTCATATTTATGCCTTCTCACTAGACAATATGCCTTGTGAAGAAAGGACTTAATCTTATTTGTTTTTGGTACCATAAGTGCCAACTACAATACCTGGCTGATAGTAGGTCTTAATTAATGTTTGCTGAAAGGAAAAGGGTATATTAGTTGACATGCTTAAACTGGCTATGCTGCTGTGACTCTGAGGTCTTATTTTGTCAAAGCAAATTAGATCTCATTGTTCAGATGCTGCAAAATTTTGATTAGAATAAAATGATTTGACCTTATCTAAAAGCTTGGCTGACATTCAGGGTATGAAATAAAGTCATCTTCTAGAAATTAACTTATCACAAATTGCAATTGGTGAAGTGATTAAAAAATAGATATTGATACATAAGATGAACAATTTTTAACTGAGACCTACACATTGTAAACATAGAAAAATGTCCTAACAAACTCCTTCATATTTGATTTCTTTTCTCTGGTAAAAATTGATAAAAATACTTAGTATTAATTGTAAAAACTATTTAGGAAAATGAAATAAAGAAAATATATGCTTTAAGTACCATATTAAGTATTAATTTTAAGCTCAAAGCTTTTAAAATTAATTAGTATTATTTTTAATCCTTAAAACTCTCAGGATTAAAGGTATTTTAACCATAGGTACTAATTTTACATTCTCAAAGACCTAAACTTGTAAACATTTCAAAGTCTGAGGCATTTTGCCAGTTTTCTGATTTTTTGTGAAATTTATACTTTCATAAATAAGGATTTGTATTAAGCCAAATCAATTACTTTGGACAGTTTGCTAATTCAACCAAAATTGCACTCCAGGTTTATTAATCTTTTGATAGACTCTACACTACTCGAAGTCTTTGAAGATAAATTGTCACAAGCCCCACTAGATTAATGATTCTCTTTCTGTGGTTCAAGAACATAAGAAAACAATGATGACTATGTGATAAAGTTGCACTTTCAGCAACCAGTAAAACTGAACTTCAGTGCAAACATGGAGGTCTCCTGTTGGACAAAAGCTTTTATTTTTCTTTCACCTAAAATATGCACTTGGTGAAGCATATCTGACAGTAAACAGTGTCCCAGTGTTTACTCTTAGGAAATTTGGATTTCAAAAATCTAAGACCATGGGGGATAATCATACTAAACGAGAATGTATGCAATACATTCTAAGGTTCTTTGTTAATAAGTAATCAGGAAAATAATTTAATAAATGACTTAAAGAGCCAATGAAATGTAGTGTCAACCATGGGAAAACCTGTGTTTTTGTCTTGGCTTTGCTACTTGCTAAGGTTTGAGCTCTGAGACAAGCCATTCTACTTATCAAAGTCTGCATTTCAATATTTAGAATTATGGTTATAATAGAATATACATTCTTTACCCTGTGGTTCTGAAAACTGAGGAGACTTTAAATCAGATAAATCTTAATTTAAGTCCTAAGCTGTATGCTTGCTGCTGCTTGTGCAGCCTTAGGCATGTTAGCAAAACTCATACTTTTGTTTCTTCCTGCTATAAAATGGGGATAATAGTGTCTACATAATTAGGTTGTTATGAACATTATTGTAAATAATGGTTCAATTTATAAACAATAGGGCTTCCAAACTGTAACACATGCAATATTCTACATTTTAGCAGAAAGCCTAGTATCCTGTCCTTGTATCTTCTCAACCTGCTTTCCCAATGTCAATATCTTAGAAACCCCCAGATCCATACTGGGCTTTCTCCTATCTGAAGGGTCCATCACATTTGCACCTTCTCTGAACTCAATGCTTGGCCTTGAGAATACTTGCCCCCTTGAGCAGGAGGACTTCCCAATCATACCTGAAGCTGGTTGCTTCAGAAGGATGCAGCTCAGCAGCTCAGTCCTGTTCTGCTTCCACAGCAGGAGCCTGGCACAGGCTTTGAAACACATAGTCTGAAGAGGCCTCTGTTGACAGGTGCTGCTGATTCTGCTGGGGTAATGTTTGTGTCACTCCATGTTATATCCAAGGAAGGAAGGTTGGATGGAAACCTCACAGTCAGTTTGCTGCCAACATAACTGATAGAGTGCACTTCTGGGTTTCAGTGTTCCCATAAAGTACTAGGTGGGACCATCTTTCGAAAACCAGTGTTATACTTTGCCAAAGTTGAGCTAATGTCAAAAATGAACTGAGTTCCCCAAGCTGCAGCTCTTTAAAAAAATTATTGCCTTTGCTCTTAAGCTCTCCTCTTTAAAAATTGCTTTCTTCCAGGATGATGCATTTGAGAAAGGTTTTAGTGTCTGTCCTGAGAGACTTCAAGCCATAATTCATCTGCTTTGTGCCTTAGCATATCTTTCCCGCTTTGAGGCCAACTACTCTTGCCAGATACTGGCTTTGGGAGAGACCAGTTCTAACTAGTTTAGTAGCCTTGAATTTGTGGGAAAGAGGAGGCCAATTTGGCCTCCCTTTCTTCCCAGGAGGTCCCTGGTTCCTTATACAAATTTGAATGTATCTTTAGCAAAATTCATAAAAAGTATGACATTTAAAGGCTACAGAGTAAATTTTCTTTACCAAATAAATTCCAAATATATTCCATAAATGCTATAGTTTTAAGTAAAATACCATAGCATACTTTAAACAAATACATTAAAATAATTTTAGTATAACAAATAATTTAGGTAACATCCAGATAAGTATGAAAAAACTGTTTGAGAACTACATGAATTTTTCACAGTTGGAGAATTGGTTAGATACGTTTTTTTTCTTCTGCAATATAACATATTCAGAAATGTTCATAGTGCTCTTGAAATAACACTGATGACTTCACAATACTGAGACCAAGTGAGACCTTTTGAGATTAAACTACCTATAAAACAAAAATATTCTTACATGTATCTTTTAACATCCTTACATTCTGGATCTAGAGTTATTATTTAAAAAATAGTTATTTTGTTATTTGAAGATTTTAATAATTTCACAAGGATCTATACTGAACTAAAATTCAAACTGAACTGTGAAGGACAAAAAGTATGTACAAAATTTTCTTTCTGATTTAGACATTTAATTTGACATATTTATTAGAAAATGAATGTATTCTCCTTGCTTAAAACAATACAAAAACATATTTTTAAAACTCTTGATCCTATCTCCCACCCATTCTACTTTCCAGTAAATAGTAACTAAAATTATCATTTGCTGATACACATTATTGTAGGTACACATACACTCACACAGATATACAAGCACATGTTATTTTATAAAGATAATATTATAGGCTACTATTCTGAAAATGTTTTAGAAATAGATATCAGATTATAAGGTAAAATTATTTTAAATAATTTTTAAGATTATTTAGATTATAAGATAAAATTATATCAGATTATAAGATAACATTATATTATTTTAAAATTTATGAAATTTTTTTTTCAGGCCCCAAAGGTAAACATACCTTTTTTTTAAATGAAAACAAATTCAATGTGAATTTATAAGTTGATGAGATATATTTTTTACACAGTGCTATTAGATATATTACTTAAACAAGTTTTTAAAAATACTTGTTACACAATATAACAGGCTCTCTTTTTGTATTAAACATAATCTATGATGTTGAAAATTCCCAACAAAATTTAACATTTAGCAATACATTTCTTAAGGATATACCTAGAGTCATTCCTGGCATACTTTTGAAGATTGCATCCTTTATCTGGCCGGTCCGCCTGAAATTAAAGTAGTCAGGAAATAGTGGTTAGCATTTTTTTTTTCAGAGTAAAATGGTCAAGTAAATGAATTGTTGGAAATGACATATTATGTCATGATTTCAGTGATATTTGATTTTTACTTTAAATTAATTTAAAATGTGTGAATATTCACATTTTGCTTTTGAAACTTATGTGTTCATTGATTTTTCCTAAAAATAATATGTTTTCATCTTCTGAGGATATTTTACACCTATTTTTCTCCATGGTACTTGAATAGAAGTTATTTGACAGTTGTTTATACCTTAATTCTCCTTGCTATTTATGATCCAAAGTTTGAAAAATGTTGAGTTTGACCTGTAAATGTATAAATATCTCTATGAGATAGTGAACCTCTTTAAAAGGACTAATATTTAAATATATTTTTATTGGAAGAGGTTATAAAAAGGTACAATATATTCAGACAACATTTTTAATTTTTTTGTTTTTTGTTAAGAAAGGTTTTTTAAAAATTGTATTTAAATATTGTCATATGCTTACCTTGACATGCAAATACATAGTGAACTGATTACTTCAGTCAAACAAATCAACATACCCATCATCCCATATAGTTACTTTCTTGCTGTGTGTGTTCATGTGTGTGTGTGTGTGTGTGTGTGTGTGTGTGTAAGAGTACCTAAAAAACTACTCTCTTGGTAAATTACCAGTATATATAATACACTGTTATTAACTAATATTGTACATTAAGTCTCTTAGATTTATTCATTCCATGTAAATGCAACTTTGTACCCTTTGACCTCCATTTCCCCATTTCCATCCTGCCACTGTCCCCTCCCCTGGTAACCACCATTCTGCTCTCTGCTTCTATGTGTTCAACTATTTTCATGCGGTATTTTTCTATCTGTGTCTGGCTTGTCTCCCTTAGTATAATGCCCATTGGGTTCACCATGTTGTCAAAAATGTCAGAATCTCCTATTTTAAGACTGAATAATATTCAAGTATATGATACAATATTATGACTAATATCTAAGTATCTATCTAATAGTAGCTAACAATTCTTTCATATTAGGATATTATTATATGATATATATATATATTATTGATATATCTATATCTATAATATAAATTTTCATATCCATCCATCTGCTGATACTTGTTTCTCTCAATTCTAAGTTTGATTGTACTATTGTTTATAGTTATTCAATCCCCCATCTCAGTAAGATTATACATCTCTACCCATTGCTTTGTCATTTCCCCTCCTGTGAAAAGAAGCTGTCCCTGCGTCATTGCACTATGGTTTGATTATATGACTTACTTTTGCTAATGGAACTTCAGCCAATGTGACATACACCATGTCTGAGCAGAAGCTTTTAATACTGTTGCATGGTTTCTCTCAGCCCTTTCTCTTGTCCTCTACTGTGAAAATACACATGTCCCACACAGAGACTGCTCCTGCAGGCTAGGTGTCATAAGCCATTGAGATATTGGGTATTGAGATAAGCTGACTAATGCTAATAAAAATTTTGAGAAATAACGCTGACTAATACAAATTTTGGAAAGAAAGCCAGGTGCTCACTTCCAAAGTAATTATTATAAGTAATTATTCTTTATATAGAAATGAGAGTTTGTTCATGAGGTTTGCTCTAAACTACCCCATTCTCTTCCCTGCATAACTATCTGAGGTCTAGTGTAAGAAAAATGCATAATTTATATTTTAAGTAATAAGTCAGCAATTTAACACTGTTTCCAATTGCAAGGACTATAATCAAAGGTGTAACCATAACATATTCTTCTGTCTTCTCAGAAGTTCCTATAAGCCAATAATTCCTTAAAATACATATCAAATTATTTCTAAATCAAACAAGTTCAGAGATAACTAATAATAGCTTACTATCTATTGAAGCAATATAAAAAGCCCAAAGTGTTATTAAGAATGTTTATTTTACCACAGTGTATGATATTTGTGAAGAATTTCTGCTACCTTTTTATACTGAGAAGTTAAAAGGGTTTTTCTGAGTTGCATTTAGAAACTGTAAAGTTCTGTGATGCACAGGAAAGTGGTGATTGGAAAAGCCCAGATGAGTACTTTGAAATTACTACTTTTTGATACCCTATATAGGCAATGAAAATCTGATGGCCATGACTGGCTTCTCAGTACAGCCTGATATTTAATTACAGGATGTAAAGATTTGAATGCGCATTTATATTGCTACCACTCATATATATCCAGATGTTACCATTTTGGTGCTAAAAAGCATGGTCAACATTTTTGTTGGCTTATGTGATGAAGTAGCTATTCTTACATTGTAAGATTATACATTTCTCACTTCCACCTACACTCCCATCTCCTTATAGGACCCCATGGGTTCCTATAGGTTTTTTTAAAAAAAAAAACCTACAATGTTTTTAAATAAATAAGTGAATAAGTGGCCTGTGAATATTTTTTATTGCTTCTTAATTTTCTTGAGATCAAAATTAGTTTCTAAAATTTAACAGATATTCTATAATGATTTCTAAGTAGAAAACAGAAGTGATAATTCTCATGTGGAAGAATGTTATGGATTAATCATTACAAAATGGATGTGGACGTAATACATGTATCAATTTTCTATTGCTGCATACAAATGATCAGAAGCAATGCCTTAAAACAACATTCATTTATTATATCATGGTTTGTATAGGTCAGAAGTCTAGGCACACTGCAGCTGGGCTCTTTGCTGAGTCTCATAGACCAAGATCAAAGTGTAAGCTGTCCTGCATTTTCAACTGGAGCCTGTATTCCTCTTCCAAGCTCATTCAGGTTGTTTGCAGAATTTAGTTTTTTTGGCCATGTAGGACTGAGGTCCCTATTTTCTTCCTGGCTGTTGACTAGGGTTGCTTTCAGCTCCTAGAGGCTGCCTCTAAGTCCTAGCCATGGCCTTCTCACAAGATGGTAACTTATTACATTAAAGCCAGTAGGAGAATCTCTCTCACTGTATTTTTTAAGAGACTCACCTGATTAGGTCAGGCCCACCAGAGAAAATCTTTTTATCAACTCAAAGTCAACTGGCCTAAATTACATCTTCAAAATGTCTTTTACCACATTATATAATGTAATCATGGTAAGGATATCCCAGTACACTCATTAGGTTTCACTCACACGGGAAGTGGATTGATTATACAAGAGCATAGGTTATTGGTGTGGTCTTAGAATTCTTCCTATCTCAATAGATAACTTGCCCAACAATTTAAATAATGTCAAAAAGTGAAGTGATGGAGAAGGCCTGCATTTTATTCTAAAATTATCGTCATTATTTTTTATTAACATCTATAATATTTATCTGGCATGTGATTAATAATCTCATCCCTTTACTTAAGTACATTCATTTATGCTGGGAAGTTAAACATCCACTTATTTAATGACATGTCTTCTTTTTTCAATGAATTATACCTCATTTAACTGTTTACTCAAGACAATGTGATGGCAACTATATTGTAGGTAATAGATTATATACTCCAATGCTTATAGGGAAGAGGTAGGTAACAAAAATTGTTAATCAAGCCAGGGAATTATGTCCATGTGTGAATTGCCAAAGTATTCCTCCTTCCTTGGGAATTCAAAATGATTTTAAAGGGAAAAGCACTTTGCCAGCAAATAACGCCCATTTTCTTACTGGGTACCTCCAATGAGATGACTTTTTTGAACACTTGCTCTTTGGAAAAGGATGGTAGATCCTTGATATGTTTTTATCAGTACATCAAAACAAACCAAAACATACTATGTTTTTCCACAAAATTTCTTCTCTGAAGAGATATTTGAGCTCAACCTTCAGGTAGCTAATTACTACTGAAAAAATTAAAAATAGAGTAGATTGGTAACTATGAATTAAATATAGTCATCAACATACTTGGCCCTTCATGCTACCTGGCCACATTTCTATGTTCCTCATAACTCTGAATCTCTTCCTAATCAATTTTAGCTCTTACTACTCCAAGAAATAAACACACTCCACTTATAGCTGTCACAAATATCACCAATGACTACCTATTACCAAAATCTTGACATTTTGGTCATTTTCTAGTTGATTTTTTTCTGTGCTGTATTTTTTTAAAAATATACATTCTAAATAATTCTCTTATCTTGCTTTTAAAACCTCTAGCTCTTCTCTAAGCTTCAGACCCACAAATGCATAACTTATGAATTTGATGTTTTAAGGTACTCTGAACTCTTTAGGTTCAAAACAGAAATTGTGATTTAATCCATCAACTCTGGTTCTCTTCCTATGTGAGTAAGTAGAATAAATGGATTATATTTGCTACATGAAAGCAGAATTCTAAGATCCATTATTTGCACCTCCTTCTTCTTCACCCCATTCCCAATCCATCATTAAGCCACTTTGACTTTGCTTCCTAAATATATCTCACATTTGTTATCTTCTCTTCATATCACATATTCCATTTCTCAGCTAAGATATCTTTATCTCTTGCCTGGTCTCCTGTTATTCCTAATTTGCTTGTCCTCATTAGAATTCATTTATTACAGGCCAGGCGCAGTGGCTCATGCCTGTAATCCCAGCACTTTGGGAGGCTGAGGCAGGCAGATCACCTGAGGTCAGGAGTTTGAGACCAGCCTGAACAATATGGAGAAGCCCTGTCTCTACTAAAAATACAAAATTAGCCAGGTGTGGTGGCACATGCCTGTAATCCCAGCTACTAGGGAGGCTGAGGCAGGAGAATCACTTGAACCTGGGAGGCAGAGGTTGCAGTGAGCCAAGATTGCGCCATTGCACTCCAGCCTGGGCAACAAGAGCGAAACTCCGTCTCAAAAAAAAAAAAAAAAAAAAAAGAATTCATTTATTACAAAAGTAAAAATTTTATCATGCCACTAATTTGATTAAAAGCCTAAAATGGTTTCCCGCTGCTTTTATATCAACACCTAAACCTTTTTCCTGGCCCACAGGACTGGTGAAGTCCAGATCATTTCTCCTCTGCAGCCTCATTTAATGCCACTCTTCACTTTTTTCCCTGAGATTCAATACCTCTGGCTTTGTTTCTGGCCCTCAGACACAACTTATTTCAATTGTTTGTGTGCTCTTTGCATATGCTTTTTAGTCCTTTTGCCTAGACTTCCTTTTCTTCTCATGGCTTTTTACTACCACTAAATGTCACCTCCTTGGGAAAGTCTTCTTTGATGCTTCAAATTAGATAGATGCCCCACTGATATTCTCTTAAATTGTTTTTATTGTTGGAGTATTTGCCAGAGCTTGGACTTACACATTTATGTGACTATTTAGCTTATAATAGTCTCTTACACAATACTCTAAGCACCATGATAACAAGGACCATCTATTTTACTCAGGAATGTATCCTCACTGCTAAGCACCAACAGGTACTTCATAAATATTTATTGAATAAGCATTTAAAAGTACATGAATCAATGGATACCTGAGTGAGGAGTGGTGGCTACGTCTTTGTTAAGCTCCTCTGTTTTTTTTTAAGATATTAATCTTATTCATAGATTGGCTTACCATCAAAAAATATTAGCACCACTCTTATCTTACAACTTATAATTGGTATACTTCACAGTCCTCTTAGCGAGATAATCATGTTGAATTCAAGACTGTTAAATAATTTTGAAGCTTCAGTTGAGGAAAAGTAGTATATCTATGGAGATTTGTTTTAAAAGCTATTTTCTAGTTCAAAGAATTTCAACCAATGCTTTTGACATCCCTTCCTGAAGGCACTGGTGGGTGATTGGGATGGATATAGATGAGGAGCGAGTATAGAATTATCACAAAAAATGTTCTAATTTTCCATAATTATATCAAGAATATTAACTAGACTGAATAGTAGCTTTTTGTGTATGTACTACATTTTTAAATATATAAAAATGCTATTGTGACAAACAAAATATAGCTTTCTTAATAATTATTTTTGGATTTATAGTAGCTTTCACTGTAATCCTTTCTATCAACAGATAGTATTAATAAAAGCATAATTATTATCGTTAAGGATATGGGACCATTTTTTAATATCATAAAGTCTATTTAATCAGCTTTGGGCATTAATGTGGCTTAGTAAAGCATCTCATAACTCAATGGCTTAAAATATAATAATTCATTTGCCCTATATGTCAGCAAATTATCTCTTGGTTGGTTGATCTATGCTGGTTTTGTCTGGGTTTGGCTTCAAACTACAGGTTGGGTCAGGTCTGCTACGTGTGTCTTTCATCTCCCTGAGATGAAAGTGGACTAGGCTGGGCGTGGTGGCTCACGCCCGTAATCCCAGCATTTTGGGAGGCTGAGGCCGGTGGATCGCGAGGTCAGGAGTTCAAGACCAGCCTGGCCAACATGGTGAAACCCCGTCTCTACTAAAAATACAAAAAATTAGCTGGACATGGTGGAGCGTGCCTGTAATCCCAGCTACTCGGGAGGCTAAGGCAGGAGAATTGCTTGAACTTGAACTGAGACCTGGGAGGCGGAGGTTGCAGTGAGCCAAGATCACGCCACTGCACTCCAGCCTGGGCTACAGAGCAAGACTATGTCTCAAAAAAAAAAAAAAAAAAGAAGTGGCTAGTTGGACGCACATTATCTATTACCAATGGGAGAAAAACAAGATATATGAAAGAAAACCCTCGATATCTCTTAAGGACTAGGCTCACACTCGGTACAATCTTAATTTTGCCCAGACTTCACTGGGCAAAGATTACCTGGCAAAGCCTAATATTAGTGATGTGGAGAAATAGGAGCTGGTTCTAGTGCAAGAAGCTACACAGTCACAAGAAAATGGGATGCATACAGAGAGGAAGGAAGTATCAGGAAAAGAAAAGACATTCTATCGCACAAAGTATTTCTCTTAATTGAGAAAATTGAGATCCATTATTTCAGATTTCTAAAAATTTTTTCTATTAAGTCAGAGCAACAGAGGGGTGCAATTTTTAGCTACATCGCCAATTCATTTATCTATAATTTAGTGATTTGTTTATTTATAATTCACTTAATAAAAATACACTTTTTGATGTATGATTCTGGGAGTTTTGATAAAGCATAGTTACATAACCTCTACCACAATCAGGATGTAGAACAAGTGCAATTGTCACCCAAAATATTTTCACCAACTACATTGTTTCTATACCCTGGTAACCACTTTTCTGAGAGCTTTGATTTTTTTTCTCCAGAATGTCATATAAATGGAGTCATTCAATATGAAACTTTCTGTTTGGCTTTTTTCACTTAGCATAATGTTTTTGAGATTCATTTATGTTGTTGAATATACCATTAGTGGATTTTTCTATGTCTCCTTTCAGTTATGTTATTTTTTGCCTCACGTATTTTGCAGCTCTAAGTTTCATGTATAGACATTGCTATGGCTTCCTGGTAAGTTTATCATTATTTAGTGAACCTTTTTATCCCTGGTTGTTTTCCCTCTTTTGAAGTTTACTTTTTTAGTAATAACATAGCCACTTTAATATTTGATTAGTGTTTGCATACTGCGTCTTTTTCCATCCTTTTTCTAATGACCTTATTTCATTATACATAAAGTTTCTTGTAGATATAAAAGATACAAAATATATCTTGTGACTTATTTTATTCATCTAATCTGATGTTCTCTTTTAGTTGGTCTGTTTGCTCAATATTGGGTTTAGGTCTTCTATTTTATTATTGATGAATGATTGTTAATTTTATTGTTATTATGTTTGTTCTGCTGATTTCCCTTTTATACTTCTTTTGGTTATTTGAATATTTTAAAATTCCATTTTAACAAAAATATTGCCTTTTTGTCTCTATATTGTTTTTCAATGGTTGCTCTATATTCATACATACATACATGTATATGTAACTTTTTACACATTCCACTTGGAGTTAATATTTTACCACTTCAAGTAAAAAGGAGAAACTTGGCCAGGCGTGATGGCTCACTCCTGTAATCCCAGCACTTTGGGAGGCAGAGGCAGGTGGATCATGAGGTCAGGAGATCGAGACCATCCTGGCTAATGTGGTGAAACCCCGTCTCTACTAGAAATACAAAAACAAAAAATTAGCTAGGTGTGGTGGCGGGTGCCTGTAGTCCCAGCTACTCAGGAGGCTGAGGCAGGAGAATGGAGTGAACCCAGGAGGCAAAGCTTGCAGTGAGCTGAGATTGCACCACTGCACTCCACCCTGGGCAACAGAGTGAGACTCTGTCTCAAAAAAAAAAAAAAAAAAAAAAAGGAGAAACTTTATCACATTATAAATGTCTTTATTCTCTACTGTTTATTTTTGTGTTGTTCATATGTATTGTGTCTACATACATTGAAACCCTCATAATTATCACTTTTTACAATCACACCTATTTTACATAAGAGTAGAAAATTTGTTATATTTATTCAGGTATTTACCAATTCTTCTGCTTTACTTTCTCTCCAGAAATTCCAAATTTCTCTCTTTTTTCATTGTACTTCATCATGAGGAAATTTATTTAACATTTATTTTTAGACTAGCTCTACTGGTGATAAATTATGTTAGTTTCCCTTCAAGTGAGAAAAAATATCCTTGTTTTGTCATTATTCCTGAAAGATATTACACTAAATCTAGATTTGTGGGATAACGGTTCATTTCTTTCTATACTTTGAAAATATTCTTCCACTGTCTTCTGGCACCCATTTTTATAATGAGAACTCTTCAGGCATTTGAGTTGTTTATCTGCAAGCAATATTTTGTTTTCGTTTGGCTACTTTCAAGACTTTTTTTTGTTAATCTTTGCTTTTCAGTAGTTTGATTATGATGTGTCTGGTCATGGTTTTCTTTTCGATGTGTTCTGCTTGAGTTCACTGAGATTTTGAATCTGTAAATTTATATATTTTTCCAATTTTTGGTAATGTTTAGCAAGTTACATTGTGTGTGTTTATGTGTGTGCACAGGCACACATGCACACGTACAGAACATTCTTCTCTTTTTTTGGAACCCCAAAGACATAGTTGTTGGAACTTCTGATATTGTCACACAGGTCTCTTAGGCTCCATTTATTCAATAGCTATTTTTTATGTAGCTTGGATAATTTCTATGATCCATCTGCAAGTTCAGTGACTCTTTTATAATTTTCATTCTGTGATTGAACTCCTCTGTTGAAGTTTTAATTTCTTTTATTTTTAGTTCTAGAATTTTTATTGGTAGTTTTTTACTTACCAGTTTTGTTGACAAGTTCTATCTTCCCCTTCATTTCAAGAGTTTTTCATCGTATTTTATAAAACACGGGTAGAATAGTTACTTTAAAACATCTTTCTAAGTTTAGCATCTGGATTCTTTTGTGATTGTCTATTGATGATCTTTTTTCTTAATAATTTTTAACATTTTCCCCCTCTTTTTAGGTTGAATAATTTTATATTGTATCCTGGAAATTTTGAAGATTTTGTCTCTGTGTCTTGTTAAAATCCTCTGCTGAATGTGTACTTTTTGTTGTTTGCTAGTTAATGTCACACGAAGCAGTCCAGATTCACCTTCTGTGGTCTGCAGGTTCCAATCTTAGTTTTGATTGTAACACCTTTCAGTGCTATTTTGGTCCATTCTATTTATCCAGTCCTCAGGAGTGAGTCAAATGGCACTTGAATGGCCATCTGTAGAGTATTTCCATTCCATAAGCCTTTGCTCTGTTGTTCTACATCATTCCCTCACCTGTACAGATCAGGAGTAAGTTCAGGACGTTATATAGGGTTTTAAGGGACCTTGTTCTGTATCCTCCACCCCCTGTAATTCTCTAACATATTACAGCTCCCAAAGGACCAATTTTTGGTGCTCTGGCTAGAAAGCTGAAAATTTTGTCTCCCAAACTGTTACAAGCTTTCTGCAAATAGGTCTGTTTTGAGGAAAAGTGACAAAAGAGAGAGAACAAGTAACAGAGATTCCCCCTATATGCTTTGACCACAGGAGCTCCTTTCGTGTTTCTCTAGTCAGGAATGAGAATATTTTTATCAGTGTTTTAGATACCTAGGTGACTGCCATCTCTACTGTCACTGCCATCACTATTGCTATTTCACCGCATTTTCGCAGGAGTGCAGTTTCCTAAGGGGGCTTGCTTTGAGGTAATGCTGAGAGAATAAAAAGAAAGAAAATACAAAAAGAGGATTTCCTTTTACGTGCATACATCCCATAGATGTGGCCCTTCCGAGTTCTCTGGACTAAAAGAGACTGTTTTTCATGGACATTTCTCTGTCTATATTCACTGCACTGTCCAGGGGATTTTGGTGGTGTTTCCTGGGAGAGAGAG
Source organism: Homo sapiens (assembly GCF_000001405.40). Lineage (NCBI taxonomy): Eukaryota > Metazoa > Chordata > Mammalia > Primates > Hominidae > Homo > Homo sapiens. The sequence continues at coordinate 115,183,508 of NC_000006.12, read as the reverse complement.
TGTACTTTTTCCATCTTAACCTGATCTGGAAGTTAGGCTATATAATTTTGGTTGACAAAAAGATTGTTCTTATTTTGCTTTCAGCCTACCTGGAAGGATGTTATCTAAAAGTGCCTTTGAAATTCTCATTGCCCTGTTCATTGTAAGGATGGTGCTGAGGAATGTGTTTATAGTACCACGAGTTGCTCTTCTCCTTTTGAAAACTCAGGATACTTTCAGTAGCTTCAACATGTGGAAGAGTTACATTGTTCTGAGTACCCAGTCTATTTTTTATTACAGGTGATTTGATGTGACCATTTCTTTTCTTTTTTTTGGCTACTGGATTGCCAAGAAACATATTTTAAAACCACAATTAGCAAGTTTATTGCCTAGGTATTATACTCATCTCAATTTTAATTTATTATACTGCACCTGCTTTCATTTGCATTGTAAATATTTATGTAGGCAATGTTAACTCTACTCTGGAGAAAAGAAAGACTATAAACAAATAAGTCGAAGTTTACCAAAATTACACTGCATATCATAACCGAGAAGTCAATGTACATGATTGAAACAGAAAAAGCATATGGTAAAATTATTCTCTTCAACTCTATTAATAGTTTAATTTTGTTTTTGAAAACTTATTAATGGACTGTGAAAGTTAATTTTGGAAAAAATACATTTGGGGAAATATTTTTAAAATATGAAATACAATTATTTTAAATTCCTGTGAAGCTCACCACAAGCTGCCATTTAAAAATAAACGTCATACCTAACTACATAAGCAATAGATAACTGATGCTTATATCATAGTCACCTTTGTAACCACAGTTGTTAGCTGGGGTCATATGCCTTTTAATTGTACATATATATATATTTTGAGACGGAGTTGCTCTTGTCACCCAGGCTGGGGCGATTTCAGCTCACTGAAACCTCCACCTCCAGGGTTCAAGTGATTCTCCTGCCTCAACCTCCTGAGTAGCTGGGATTATAGTTGACTGCCACCACACCTGGCTAATTTTTGTATCTTTAGTAGAGACAGGGTTTCACCATGTTGGACAGGCTGGTCTTGAACTCCTGACTTCAGGTGATCCACCCACCTCAGCCTCCTAAAGTGCTGAGATTACAGGCATGAGCCACCATGCCCCACTGCTTTTTAAGATCTTGATAGTATTTGCTCTTTCACTTCATAATTTCAGGACATTCAAAGCTCTTTCTAAGATTTCTAGAAATTATTAGTGGGATGAAGCCATCAGTAACAGATTTGAAATGATTAGCAAGAAAAATCTAAATGAAATGGATATGGAAATTATCATGTTGTCTATGGCTCAGAGCCTAATTCAGCTTAAGGGTTTTCATGCAAACTTAGTGCCATGCTGGTGTTTTTATTTTTTATTTTTTGGCAATCTGGTATTCCCTGATCCTCACTGACCAAAAGTGTTATCTTTATAGCAGTCTTTATTAAATACTTCCAGGATACAGATATTTTCTTTGCAGTAATATAAATAAAGTTGAATTTTCACCATTATATTTCTCTAAAATTATGGCTATTTCTGCAATCTTGGCTCAGGTTCTGGATGCTATTCATCCCCCTTCTCTCCCTCTCTCTCTCGTCTTTCCTCTTTCTTCTCTACTCCATACTTCTCTTTTCTGCTACCATTCCTTAAGGATAAAAAATAAAGTCCTACTGTATCAATCAGGTTTCTGCAGAGAAATATAACTGATAGATAGGATATCTATCTAATCTATCACCTATCTATCATCTATCCATTTATTTATCCATCTGTCTACCAAGAGATTTTAAGGACTTGACTCACACAATGAACTAGCCAGTCTGAAATCTGTAGGGTACGCAGGCAGGCTGAATTTTTGGCAGGGTTGATGCTACAGTTTTCAGGTAGATTTCTTCCATGGAAACCTCAGTTTTTGTTTTTAATGTTTTCCATCTAATTGGATGAAGTTCACCCACCTTATCAAAGGTAATTCATTTACTTAATGTCAACTGATCGGCCAGGTGTGTTGGCTCACATCTATAATCCCAGAACTTTGGGAACCTGAGGCAGTCAGATTACTTGAGGCCAGAAGTTCGAGATGGGCCTGGCCAACATGGTGAAACCATCTCAGAGACAATGGGGTCTAGAGACAATGGGGGTAAACTAGTATTTATTCTAACCAGTCCTATAATTCTAAATGTAAATATATATAATTGTTAAACTTCTAGTGAGCAATCATTTTGCCAACAGAGGTCTAGTAAGAAAATTTAGCAATAATGTTATAAATCCCCATAAAGCTACTTTGTTCTTTTTTTTTTTATATACTTTAAGTTTTAGGGTACATGTGCACATTGTGCAGGTTAGTTACATATGTATACATGTGCCATGCTGGTGCGCTTCACCCACTAACTTGTCATCTAGCATTAGGTATACCTCCCAATGCTATCCCTCCCCCCTCCCCCCACCCCACCACAGTCCCCAGAGTGTGATATTCCACTTCCTGTGTCCATGTGATCTCATTGTTCAATTCCCACCTATGAGTGAGAATATGCGGTGTTTGGTTTTTTGTTCTTGCGATAGTTTACTGAGAATGATGATTTCCAATTTCATCCATGTCCCTACAAAGGACATGAACTCATCATTTTTTATGGCTGCATAGTATTCCATGGTGTATATGTGCCACATTTTCTTAATCCAGTCTATCGTTGTTGGACATTTGGGTTGGTTCCAAGTCTTTGCTATTGTGAATAATGCCGCAATAAACATACATGTGCATGTGTCTTTATAGCAGCATGATTTATAGTCCTTTGGGTATATACCTAGTAATGGGATGGCTGGGTCAAATGGTATTTCTAGTTCTAGATCCCTGAGGAATCACCACACTGACTTCCACAATGGTTGAACTAGTTTCCAGTCCCACCAACAGTGTAAAAGTGTTCCTATTTCTCCACATCCTCTCCAGCACCTGTTGTTTCCTGACTTTTTAATGATTGCCATTCTAACTGGTGTGAGATGGTAACTCATTGTGGTTTTGATTTGCATTTCTCTGACGGCCAATGATGATGAGCATTTTTTCATGTGTTTTTTGGCTGCATAAATGTCTTCTTTTGAGAAGTGTCTGTTCATGTCCTTTGCCCACTTTTTGATGGGGTTATTTTTTTCTTGTAAATTTGTTTGAGTTCATTGTAGATTCTGGATATTAGCCCTTTGTCAGATAAGTAGGTTGCAAAAATTTTCTCCCATTTTGTAGGTTGCCTGTTCACTCTGATGGTAGTTTCTTTTGCTGTGCAGAAGCTCTTTAGTTTAATTAGATCCCATTTGTCAATTTTGTCTTTTGTTGCCATTGCTTTTGGTGTTTTGGACATGAAGTCCTTGCCCATGCCTATGTCCTGAATGGTAATGCCTAGGTTTTCTTCTACGGTTTTTATGGTTTTAGGTCTAACATTTAAGTCTTTAATCCATCTTGAATTGATTTTTGTATAAAGTGTAAGGAAGGGATCCAGTTTCAGCTTTCTACATATGGCTAGCCAGTTTTCCCAGCACCATTTATTAAATAGGGAATCCTTTCCCCATTGCTTGTTTTTGTCAGGTTTGTCAAAGATCAGATAGTTGTAGATATGCGGCATTATTTCTGAGGGCTCTGTTCTGTTCCATTGATCTATATCTCTGTTTTGGTACCAGTACCATGCTGTTTTGGTTACTGTAGCCTTGTAGTATAGTTTGAAGTCAGGTAGTGTGATGCCTCCAGCTTTGTTCTTTTGGCTTAGGATTGCCTTGGTGATGTGGGCTCTTTTTTGGTTCCATGTGAACTTTAAAGTAGTTTTTTCCAATTCTGTGAAGAAAGTCATTGGTAGCTTTATGGGGATGGCATTGAATCTGTAAATTACCTTGGGCAGTATGGCCATTTTCACGATATTGATTCTTCCTACCCATGAGCGTGGAATGTTCTTCCATTTGTTTGTATCCTCTTTTATTTCCTTGAGCAGTGGTTTGTAGTTCTCCTTGAAGAGGTCCTTCACATCCCTTGTAAGTTGGATTCCTAGGTATTTTATTCTCTTTGAAGCAATTGTGAATGGGAGTTCACTCATGATTTGGCTCTCTGTTTGTGTGTTGTTGGTGTATAAGAATGCTTGTGATTTTTGTACATTGATTTTGTATCCTTAGATTTTGCTGAAGTTGCTTATCAGCTTAAGGAGATTTTGGGCTGAGACAATGGGGTTTTCTAGATATACAATCATGTCGTCTGCAAACAGGGACAATTTGACTTCCTCTTTTCCGAATTGAATACCCTTTATTTCCTTCTCCTGCCTAATTGCCCTGGCCAGAACTTCCAACACTATGTTGAATAGGAGTGGTGAGAGAGGGCATCCCTGTCTTGTGCCAGTTTTCAAAGGGAATGCTTCCAGTTTTTGCCCATTCAGTATGATATTGGCTGTGTGTTTGTCATAGATAGCTCTTATTATTTTGAAATACATCCCATCAATACCTAATTTATTAAGAGTTTTTAGCATGAAGGGTTGTTGAATTTTGTCAAAGGCTTTTTCTGCATCTATTGAGATAATCATGTGGTTTTTGTCTTTGGCTCCGTTTATATGTTGGATTACATTTATTGATTTGCGTACATTGAACCAGCCTTGCATCCCAGGGATGAAGCCCACTTGATCATGGTGGATAAGCTTTTTGATGTGCTGCTGGATTCGGTTTGCCAGTATTTTATTGAGGATTTTTGCATCAGTGTTCATCAAGGATATTGGTCTAAAATTCTCTTTTTTGGTTGGGTCTCTGCCCGGCTTTGGTATCAGAATGATGCTGGCCTCATAAAATTAGTTAGGGAGGATTCCCTCTTTTTCTATTGATTGGAATAGTTTCAGAAGGAATGGTACCAGCTCCTCCTTGTACCTCTGGTAGAATTTGGCTGTGAATCCATCTGGTCCTGGACTCTTTTTGGTTGGTAAACTATTGATTATTGCCACAATTTCAGCTCCTGTTATTGGTCTATTCAGAGATTCAACTTCTTCCTGGTTTAGTCTTGGGAGAGTGTATGTGTCAAGGAATTTATCCATTTCTTCTAGATTTTCTAGTTTATTTGCGCAGAGGTAGTTTGTATTTCTGTGGGATCGGTGGTGATATCCCCTTTATCATTTTTTATTGTGTCTATTTGATTCTTCTCTCTTTTTTTCTTTATTAGTCTTGCTAGCGGTCTATCAATTTTGTTGATCCTTTCAAAAAACCAGCTCCTGGATTCATTAATTTTTTGAAGGGTTTTTTGTGTCTCTATTTCCTTCAGTTCTGCTCTGATTTTAGTTATTTCTTTCCTTCTGCTAGCTTTTGAATGTGTTTGCTCTTGCTTTTCTAGTTCTTTTAATTGTGATGTTAGGGTGTCAATTTTGGATCTTTCCTGCTTTCTCTTGTGGTCATTTAGTGCTATAAATTTCCCTCTACACACTGCTTTGAATGCGTCCCAGAGATTCTGGTATGTTGTGTCTTTGTTCTCATTGGTTTCAAAGAACATCTTTATTTCTGCCTTCATTTCGTTATGTATCCAGTAGTCATTCAGGAGCAGGTTGTTCAGTTTCCATGTAGTTGAGCGGTTTTGAGTGAGATTCTTAATCCTGAGTTCTAGTTTGATTGCACTGTGGTCTGAGAGATAGTTTGTTATAATCTCTGTTCTTTTACATTTGCTGAGGACAGCTTTACTTCCATGTATGTGATCAATTTTGGAATAGGTGTTGTGTGGTGCTGAAAAAAATGTATATTCTGTTGATTTGGGTTGGAGAGTTCTGTAGATGTCTATTAGGTACGCTTGGTGCAGAGCTGAGGTCAATTCCTGTGTATCCTTGTTGACTTTCTGTCTCGTTGATCTGTCTAATGTTGACAGTGGGGTGTTAAAGTCTCCCATTATGAATGTGTGGGAGTCTAAGTCTCTTTGTAGGTCACTCAGGACTTGCTTTATGAATCTGGGTGCTCCTGTATTGGGTGCATATATATTTAGGATAGTTAGCTCTTCTTTTTGAATTGATCCCTTTACCATTATGTAATGGCCTTTTTTGTCTCTTTTGATCTTTGTTGGTTTAAAGTCTGTTTTATCAGAGACTAGGATTGCAACCCCTGCCTTTTTTTGTTTTCCATTTGCTTGGTAGATCTTCCTCTATCCTTTTATTTTGAGTCTATGTGTGTCTCTGCACGTGAGATGGGTTTCCTGAATACAGCACACTGATGAGTCTTGACTCTTTATCCAATTTGCCAGTCTGTGTCTTTTAATTGGAGCATTTAGTCCATTTACATTTAAAGTTAATATTGTTATGTGTGAATTTGATCGTGTCATTATGATGTTAGCTGGTGATTTTGCTCGTTAGTTGATGCAGTTTCTTCCTAGTCTCAATGGTCTTTACGTTTTGGCATGATTTTGCAGTGGCTGGTACTGGTTGTTCCTTTCCATGTTTAGTGCTTCCTTCAGGAGCTCTTTTAGGGCAGGCCTGGTGGTGACAAAATCTCTCAGCATTTGCTTGTCTGTAAAGGATTTTATTTCTCCTTCACTTATGAAGCTTAGTTTGGCTGGATATGCAATTCTGGGTTGAAAATTCTTTTCTTTAAGAATGTTGAATATTGGTCCCCACTCTCTTCTGGCTTGTAGAGTTTCTGCCAAGAGATCTGCTGTTAGTCTGATGGGCTTCCCTTTGAGGGTAACCCGACCTTTCTCTCTGGCTGCCCTTAACATTTTTTCCTTCATTTCAACTTTGGTGAATCTGACAATTATGTGTCTTGGAGTTGCTCTTCTCGAGGAGTATCTTTGTGGCATTCTCTGTATTTCCTGAATTTGAACGTTGGCCTGCCTTGCTAAATTGGGGAAGTTCTCCTGGATAATATCCTGCAGAGTGTTTTCCAACTTGGTTCCATTCTCCCCATCACTTTCAGGTACACCAATCAGACATAGATTTGGTCTTTTCACATAGTCCCATATTTCTTGGAGGCTTTGCTCATTTCTTTTTATTCTTTTTTCTGTAAACTTCCCTTCTCGCTTCATTTTATTCATTTCATCTTCCATTGCTGATACCCTTTCTTCCAGTTGATCGCATCAGCTCCTGAGGCTTCTGCATTCTTCACGTAGTTCTGGAGCCTTGGTTTTCAGCTCCATCAGCTCCTTTAAGCACTTCTCGGTATTGGTTATTCTAGTTATACATTCTTCTAAATTTTTTTCAAAGTTTTCAACTTCTTTGCCTTTGGTTTGAATTTCCTCCCGTAGCTCAGAGTAAGTTGATCGTCTGAAGCCTTCTTCTCTCAGCTCATCAAAGTCATTCTCCATCCAGCTTTGTTCCGTTGCTGGTGTGGAATTGCGTTCCTTTGGAGGAGGAGAGGCGCTCTGCGTTTTAGAGTTTCCAGTTTTTCTGTTCTGTTTTTTCCCCATCTTTGTGGTTTTATCTACTTTTGGTCTTTGATAATGGTGATGTACAGATGGGTTTTTTTCTGTGTATGTCCTTTCTGTTTGTTAGTTTTCCTTCTAACAGACAGGACCCTCAGCTGCAGGTCTGTTGGAATACCCTGCCGTGTGAGGTGTCAGTGTGCCCCTGCTGGGGGGTGCCTCCCAGTTAGGCTGCTCGGGGGTCAGGGTTCAGGGACCCACTTGAGGAGGCAGTCTGCCCGTTCTGAGATCTCCAGCCGCGTGCTGGGAGAACCACTGCTCTCTTCAAAGCTGTCAGACAGGGACATTTAAGTCTGCAGAGGTTACTGCTGTCTTTTTGTTTGTCTGTGCCCTGCCCCCAGAGGTGAAGCCTACAGAGGCAGGCAGGCCTCCTTGAGCTGTGGTGGGCTCCACACAGTTCGAGCTTCCTGGCTGCTTTGTTTACCTAAGCAAGCCTGGGCAATGGTGGGCGCCCCTCACCCAGCCTCGCTGCCGCCTTGCAGCTTGATCTCAGACTGCTGTGCTAGCAATCAGCGAGACTCCGTGGGCATAGGACCCTCCGAGCCAGGTGCGAGATATAATCTCGTCGTGCGCCGTTTTTTAAGCCGGTCTGAAAAGCGCAATATTCGGGTGGGAGTGACCCGATTTTCCAGGTGCGTCTGTCACCCCTTTCTTTGACTCGGAAAGGGAACTCCCTGACCCCTTGTGCTTCCCAAGTGAGGCAATGCCTCGCCCTGCTTCGGCTCGCGCACGGTGCGCGCACCCACTGACCTGTGCCCACTGTCTGGCACTCCCTAGTGAGATGAACCCGGTACCTCAGATGGAAATGCAGAAATCACCCGTCTTCTGCGTGGCTCACACTGGGAGCTGTAGACCGGAGCTGTTCCTATTCGGCCATCTTGGCTCCTCCTATTTGTTCTTAATTTATCTACAGTGTTACTTCTTTCCTAGTGTATTAATCCATTTGCAATCCGTGTATTACCCAGAATATTCAGATTCAGTTTGAATTCATTTTCTCCTCCCTTTACATAGCTCATATACGTTAATTATAGTAATAGCCAAAAAATAATTTTGCATTTACCTTATAATACTGGTAGTCACAGAGTACATTTGTGTAGTATTTTCCATGGGAAAGGCTCACAAGAAAGTGTGAATTCATGCATACAAATTTATTTCTCTTTCCAATAACATATTGCATTTATGTTTCATAAAAGTGGCTTCAGAAGAGAAACATAAAATAGTTTGGGTTCTTTGGCTGTGAGGGCAATATACTCTTTCAAAAATGTCCCTTTACAATTTAAAAAATAAACACATTGTTATAAAATGCAAGCTGTGTTTAAGTTCTTAATCAGTAGTTATAGAAAAAATATGTTCCAAGACTATTTTTATATTTGTCCTTGAGAAAATGAAAAGAGAAACTGCAAAAGAGTTCAAGTATTTCAGTGTTTGTCATATTATCTTTAAAGATCAAAGCAAGTTCCATTTTGTTTGGGTGGTAGTAAACTAAGAAGTTTTTAAATTTCATTGGCATTTTTAGCAATTATTATCTTGAATAGGCATCTAGGTAATTTGCTTGGTAATTAATTCTATTTGACCTTGTTTTGCTACCTGTAATTTTTTTCCAGCTCTCCTTTTTTATATGTGAAGTCCTTGGAATAAGCAGTATGCCTGCATTTCTTTTCATGCTCTTCAGTAGCTGGGAGTAACATTTGCATAGTACAGTTTGTGAGTACTTAAATAAATAGATGAATGAATATAATCAACTTACAGGGCCTAATTCTATCAAAGTAATTTATTACTCTTATTTATTTTTAAAGTTTAAGTAAACTATTTATAAAAGTACAGATTCTAGAGGAATTTAACAGTATAGATACTAACTGCCAAAAAAGGGAGAGAAAGTTAATACACTGAAGTATCTAATTAACTCAGCATTTAAAATCGTGCTATCACATTAAACTTGAGAGAAATAGAAAAGTAAAGATGAAACCATTATAATCTACTTGGCGCTATGTTTGCTGATAGTAAAGATACAAAGCTGAACCTGCAGCTCTTTATAATCTTTCTGCATTATTACTTTGTTTCATTTTCTCAACTACCTGTATTATCTTCCTGAAGCCTGCATTTTATACCCAATTTGTGGTTCGTTAACAGGAAATATACTACTTGAATTTTATCTCTGTCCTCCGATTATTTTCTCCAGGTGTTACTTGATAAGCTGTCCTCCTCTTAAGGGGGAAAAATGTGCTCTGATCAAACTTGTTACATAGAAAATTGCTGTATTATAAAATTAAATAGCTAATTTGAGGAAATAATTTTCTCAAAATATTATTTTTCTGAAATTATTGTCAAATTTCATGTTGACCAATAACTATTGATTATGATTATTTGATTTCCCAGATATACAACAAGTTAATGAGTTTGGTCTACATTTTTTACTTTTTGGGGTACAGTTTACATATTAAACTGTACCTCTTTTAAGTGACAGGTTCAATGAGTACTGGCAAATGCATTTGTTCACGTAACCACCTCCACAATCAAGATATAAAACATTATTTTTATTACTTTTAATATTTATCTACCATACCACTTTGTAGTCACCCCGTCTCCACCCCAACCACATAACTACTCTTCTGCTCTCTATAACAAACATTTTAAAAAATTGATCACTGATGTACATCTGACTTTAAACTGTTTGTAGTATACTGACTTCCTGTTGAAAACTAATCCTTTTTATGCATATATATTTTAAAGTTTTACAATAAATCATTTTGTAGTTATGTAACAATGTGTCAATATGTATCAGTGGGCAACATTGGATCATCTTGAAGTTAATTTTCATTGTTTATTTTTTCTGTTTTTTAAATGTCAAATTATTTTTTATTGTATTTTAGATGTTGGATATGTTCAAGTATTAAAGCAATAAGAAATACCTTAAAGTAGCCAGTTAACATAAAAAATTATAGCTGATAGATTATCATTCTAAGTCTTGTTCACATTCTCTCTTCATAGGGAAGCATTGAATGCTTAGAATTTCTCAAGGATAGTTGCTTTTGAATTATCAACATGTGAATTAATTGCCAGATATTCTTATTTTCCATTACTTCAGGCATCATTAGGGACAGTGTTGACAGAGTTATCATATGAATATCCTGTAGTAATTAAGGGCTTATTTTATTTTTAGTTCTATCTTTACATTCGTTTTTAGTGGTTACTCTAAGGACCCCAATATGCATTCTTAACTATTTCGCTGGATCACTTTTTTATGATGTAGAAATCTTGCAATATTAGGTCCATTTTTTACCTCTAGCTCCATTTTATATGCTATAGTTGTTATAGAATTATATTTATATGTTTTAAACTCATAATAATATACATTTTTTGCTTGTATCATGTATATTTTATAAAATGTGACAGAAAATATAAAACTGCTGGTTTAACTCTACATTTCTAAAATATCTGAATTTTCTTTTGAATTTCTTTCCCTTCAGCCTGGATAACTTCCTATAGCAGTTATTATGGAGCATATCTGCTGGTGATGAATTTTCTTGCTTTTATTTTGTCTGAAAATGCCTATATTCCACCTTCAAAGGATATTTTCACTGTGTATAGAATTCTGACTTTTTTTCTCTTTCAGCTCTTTAATATTATCTCATTCTCTTCTAGCCTATATTGCTTCTTATGAGAAGTCAGTAGACATTCACACTGTTATTTCCTTACATATGATGTGTGATTTTACTCTGACTGCTTACAAGTTTTTTTTTTTCCTTTATCTTGGGCTTTCAGCAATTTGACCATAATTTCCCGAGGTGTGGTTCTTTTTTGCATTTACTCTACTTGGGGTTCACTGAATTTCTGGAAACTGTAAACTTACCACCTTTCAACAAATATCAGAGATTTTTGTCATTCTGTGTTCAAATACTCTTTCTGCCCCATTCCCTCTCTTCTTTCTTTCTAGAATTAAAATTACATGTACTGATGTTGTTTTACAGTTCACTGAGAAACTGTTCTTTTTTTTCCTCATTTTTCCCTCTACTTTTTTTTTCTTTTTTTTTTTTTTTCTGATTTACAGAAGTGGAGGCACTGCAGTAAGAGAAGGCAATCAGACTCCCAGGGTGCATATCTGATGAGATAATGGCAAATTGCTGCCTTTTTAAGAATGGAAGTACTGTACCCCTTGAGGTAATAGGGCATATTAAGTGTTCAATATCAGTCTCTTCTCCTGGAAGGTTAAACGTTTCGCAGTGGAAGTAATTATATTAGTCTTGGTGAGAGATAACAATCTCTACTGTGGTTACATGCATGACCTCCATCCCTACTATAATGGTCATTTGTTCATATGTCCATTGAATAAACACTAGAGTGGCCAAAGAAAATGGCTGGTCACTGCTACATATCCTTTCTTCAGATTGGCTCGTCCCTAATATTCTGGGGTCTTCCCAGATTCTCACCATAACTAAGCTACTTGCCAATGCTTAGAAGTTCATGTACATCTATACTTTAGGTCATTCTTTCTTTCATTTTTACAGTTTCTCATAAATGTACTAGCATCCCTGAACATGCAGGAGATACAGGTAGCCTTTTTTAAAATAAAGAGCAATTATCTGCCAGAGAAGGCATGGCCTTGCTTCTGAACCTTAGGGGTCTGCACTGTCACTTTCATATCAGGGCTTAACAGAGACAGTCCACAAGTTTGTTACCTACAACAGACATCTTAGCATCATTGACCCTCTTGAGTCATGTATTCTGAATGAGCATAGGCCATCTTATTTTCTACTGAAAATACAAAAATTAGCCAGGCCTGGTGGCAGGCACCTGTAATCTCAGCTACTTGGGAAGCTGAGGCATGAGAATTGCTTGAACCCAGGAGGTGGAGGTTGCATGTACCACTGCACTCCAGCCTGGGCGACACAGCAATACTCTGTCCCCCCAAGAAAATAAATAAATAAACATAGAAAAGAAAGAAAAAAGGGAAAAAGGGAGTAAGGGAAAATCAGCATGAGTCAGGGAATGAGAAACACCATTATGTGGGTGCATTAATAATCTGGCAACAATTAATACCTAGTATCAAGTGCCATTGCTTTATCTTGATACAATCTTTGGATGGCCTACAAAAATTAAAAGGGTTACAAAGGACTGAATCTGAAGATTATACACATAAGAAGGGGAAAGAAGCGAATACCCACAAAACTTCTATCTACTGGTTGCTGTGTCTTATTGGTTAAACGTTTGCCTCACAAGGTCTTAACTTCATTGAGCTTCTGGTTTGCACATGAGAGGGCACCGACTGGGGTTAGATGGCATCTCATGTCTCAACATCAGCAGGGAAGTTCCAGGTAGAAGGTGAGGAATGAGCAGTGTAGACATTAAGCAAGGCACTCTTAGCTTGTGTCTTTGTGAAATCTGTCACACTCACACACACAGCTGGTCCACACCTGACTGCAACAAGAGAGATAAGGCTGAGAGAACTTGAAGTGGTACATAAGAAGTGTCTGATATGCGCACTAAGGTATGAATAAGCCTTCTCTTAGTGCTAGAATGTGTGCAACAGTTTTGGTGTATGCTATCACATCAAACTTACCACCCACTGGTCTGTGAGAGACTAAAATATAAAGACTCATTTTAGCAAAGCAACAAAAGTTCAACCTCTTATTTACCCACTTGCAAAATCAAAACAATAAGATCAGTTAGGAAGAGCCTGAGTCGTTTATGTAATGATCCTGCAGCTTACTTGTGTGCTGAGTGTGGTGCTGAACCACCTGAGGGAATTCATCCTATCATGACAGATGCTATATATACCTGGAAAACCTATATATGCTAGGCATATATAGTTATATGGTATAATATACACTTAGTGTATATATATACTTTATATATAAATACATATAACTATATAGTTTATATAGTAAGTATAAATACTTCCATAAGTTACACTTACTATATATATAGAACTATAATTTTTGTATATATCTATATAAGTATATAGTTATATATGAACTATATATAAGTATGTAGTTATATATAAACTATATAGTATATATATACATATATATATATATGGAAGATCTTAGGCTCATACAAACATATTTAACTATTTTGTGGCCTAAATTACTTTGATATTTTGAAAAAGCTTGAACAAAACTTTTAAAATGTGTAAATATATAACTCTATACTTATATATAGCTATATATTAACTATATAATTATATATAGTTAAGTATATAGTTTATATATAACTATATATATGAAGTTATATATACATACAAGTTATATATACACATAACTTCATATATATAACTTTTGTATATAAATATATATAAAAGAAAGTTATATATAGTCGTTAGAGAAATGCAGATCAAAACCACAAGGAGATACTATCTCATGCCAGTTAGATGGCGATCATTAAAAAGTCAGGAAACAACGGATGCCGGAGAGGATGTGGAGAAATGGGAACACTTTTACACTGTTGGTGGGAGTGTAAATTAGTTCAACTATTGTGGAAGACAGTGTGGCGATTCCTCAAGGATGTAGAACTAGAAATACCCAGCAATCCCATTACTGGGTATATGCCCAAAGGATTATAAATCATTCTACTGTAAAGACACATGCACATATATGTTTATTGCAGCACTATTCACAATAGCAAAGACTTGGAACCAACTCAAATATCCATCAATGATAGACTGGATAAGGAAAATGTGGCACATATACACCATGGAATACTATGCAGCTGTAAAAAGGGATGCATGTCCTTTGCAAGGACATGGATGAAGCTGGAAACCATCATTCTCAGCAAACTAACACAAGAATAGAAAACCAAACACCACATGTTCTCACTCATAAGTGGGAGCTGAACAATGAAAACACATGGACACAGGGAGGGGAACATCACACAGTGGGGCCTGTCGGGGGGTGGGGGTCTAGGGGAAGGATAGCATTGGGATAAATACCTAATGTAGGTGATGGGTTCACGGGTGCAGAAAACCACCATGGCATGTGTATACCTATGTAACAAAACTGCACGTTCTGCACATGTACCCCAGAACTTAAAGTATAATTTTAAAAAGTTAAGAAAGCTTTTATATATATAGTTATATATATATTCTTTTAATTTTATTATTTATGGTAGTATAGTAGTTAGGATTAATTTGGTAACAAATATTTTTGAAATGTCAAAATGCCTGGCTTAGATGAGATAACAGTGTATTCCTCACTCACATGACAGAACCAAGGTGAAGGTTATTCTGGACTGGCATAGTGGCATGTGTTCAGTGATGCAGGTATTTTATATCTTGTTCTTCTCCATCATCAGCCTGACTCCCATCTTATACTCCTATATGATATGTCAGTTCAGGCATCACATCCACATTCCAGTAAGTGAGAAGATGAAGAAGGGAGAAGAGCCCCAAAACATAAGTGAGATTTCTTGTAGGCTACCATATAACATGTTTATGTGTATCTCATTTGCCAGATCTTTCATCTCTTGACCACCCCTACAAAAGGAAAGACTAGAAAAGGTAATCTTAATTTTAAGTCTCTAAAAACACACAGTTTCATATATTTGTGCAAATTGCTGTCTCTAATACAACTTACTTAAAAACCATCAAAAAATGAAATAATGTGTAGATACAGTCTCCTACATGAGTTGCTTTTGTGGCTATGTTCAAAAAATATCATTAGAGTACTAAAAGAACAAAGTACAAAGCTAGTTAAAAAGTGATAGTCATATGCACAAATGATAGGGACACCTGTGCAAGAACTTTGGAGTAGGAAACTGTGTAATTCTAATTGTGTTATTTCCATATTAAATATATTTCTTTTAATGATAATATCTTTAAATTAGATAATTTGTTGCATATAACGAACTTCAATCTCCTCAGAAAAATAACATCAACAAAATAAATACATGATTTATGTAAGAATACAAATAATAATGACCAACATTTATTGACTAACATACACCAAGAATCTCTTGACATGTGTGTTGCATTTAATCCTCACAACCACGCTAGGACATTGACACTTAAATTAACTCTTTTTAGAGATGAGGACATTTACCAACTGAGCAGTGAAGAATATTGCTCATATTCACAGGGCTAGGAGGATGCTAAGGCAGGTCCTGACTCCTGCAGACAGGTTTCAAAGCCCTTATTCCTGACCACTCAGCAAGCTTTCTCACATTCTTTATTACACAACAGTGGTGCTAGACTTAAAGCTTAGATGATCATTCTAAGTCTGGGTTCCCCTTCTGCTGCCTAATGTGACTTCATCAACACATTTTGAGTTCTATCTGTTCTCTGTCCTTTCTCTCCTCTTTAAATGTCATCCTTTGGGGATCCCTAGAAGCATTCTTTTAACTTCTCAGGCCCCTCTCTGACTACAAACCCCCAAGAGTGCCCCAGAGAACATTCCTGGAGCCCTGGCTCTCAACTGCATTCCTCTCCTCTGCAAAACCTATTGCCTGCAACCTCAAGAATCCATTTGCTCAAACCTTTTCCAATCCCTTACATTTTAGACTCTCTCCACTATGCTTCCAAACATCCCTTCCTTAACCCCTTAGTGATTTGATCCCTGCCAATACCTTGGCCTCAACTCTCTCCTGGACTTTGTGTTGGAACCATGCTGGCCTTGCATGTTCTTGAGTGTGACAGGATTTCTTCCTGCCTGGGCCTTCACACTTGCTATTCTTTCTACACAAAATATTCTCTATTCCTCCTCAATTATCAATTAACTCCTATTTCTCCTTCAAGTCTGGATAATGTGTGCATTACTTCTCAGAAAAGCTATCCTTATCCTCCTAAATTCAGCCAGGTTTCCTGCTGTACATTCTGCCCAACGCTGGCTCCTTGTTAGTACAGGTGTGAGCTGTAGAACAGCCTGCAGTGCTGGCATCACTGCAGTTTGCTGGGAACATAGAACCTCAGGCCTCTGCCCAGATTTATTGAATAAGAGTTTGCATTTTAATAACATCTCCAGATGATTCAAATGCACTTTGAAGATTAGGAAGCTCTACTTCTTCATAGCACCTCTCACAATTGTAATGCCATGTTTGGAATCCATTGTTTGATGTTGCCGTCCTTGATATGTAGGTGAGCTCCATCAGGTAAAGGGCTTTTCTGTCATTTTTACTGCTTTATTCACAGTTCCTGGTACAGCATATTGCCCAGAATATTCATTCAGAAATAATTACTGAACAATCAACATATTTCATATATTTTGTATAAAACAGAAAAATCTCATAAATCCAAATTATTACAACAGACTCTTGCAGATGACCTACAGCTATAAAATTATTGAAATCTGTATTTCTTACAAAGACTAAAAAGGGCCATTATAGAGTCTTACATAGAGAATTATAGTTTATGCCACATTCTATTACATACAAAATATAAATCTGAACACTAACATGTATTAAAGTTTTAAAAGTTTGCAAAACTATAAAAAATATACTATCAAATGACTGCATTTGAAAAATAAATAGATGCTAGTTAGTGCACAAAAAAATTGCATCTTTCAACATGGTGTTAGATATGATGTTGAAATCAAAAAAGAATTTTTTTCTCTTTTGGCAATACAATGAGAGGCAACACTTTTTTTTTCTACCTCTCAAAATATGATTGAGAGTTAAATCTGTATTTGGGAGGTTCAGGTCCTACTAAAAGCACTATAAAAAGGTGAAAGTTGTTCTTACATTAGCTATAATGAACACTACTTGTTCCTAATTGCTGCTACCATCATGAATGGTTAAATTAAGCAACACATAGCCAGACTGCATCTCTAGATTCCTAGTCTGTGGGCAGGGCATCTCTGAAAGAAAGATAGCAGTCCCAGTCAGGGGCTTATAGATAAAACTCCCATCTCCCTGGGACAGAGCACCTTGGGGAAGGGGCGGCTGTGGGCACAGTTTCAGTAAACATTCCTGCCTGTTGGCTCTGAAGAGAGCAGTGGATCTCCCTGCACAGCACTAGAGCTCTGCTAATGGACAGAATGCCTCCTCAAGTGGGTCCCTGACCCCCGTACCTCCAGACTGGGAAATACCTTCCAGTAGGGGTCGACAGACACCTCACACAGGAGAGCTCTGGCTGGCATCTGGGGTGTGCCCCTCTGGGATGAAGCTTCCACAGGAAGGAAAAGGCTGCAATCTTTGCTGTTCTGTAGCCTCCGCTGGTGATACCCAGGCAAACAGGGTCTGGAGAGGACCTCCAGCAAACTCCAGCAGACCGGCAGCAGAGGGGCCTGTTAGAAGGAAAACAAACAGAAAGGAATAGCATCAACATCAACAAAAAGGATGTACACAAAAAAACCCCAACCGAAGGTCACCAACACCGAAGACCAAAGGTAGATGAAGCCACAAAGATGAGGAAAAACCAGTACAAAAAGGCTGAAAATTCCAAAGCCAGAATGCCTCTTCTCCTCCAATGGATCACAACTCCTCATCAGCAAGGGAACAAAACTGGACACAGAATGAGTTTGATGGATTGACTGAAGTAGACTTCAGAAGGTGGGTAATAACAAACTCCTCTGAGCTAAAGGAGCATGCTCTAACCCAATTCGAGGAATCTAAGAACCTTGAAAAAAGGTTAGAAGAATTGTCAACTTGAATAACCAGTTTAGAGAAGAACATAAATGACTGATGGAGCTGAAAAACACAGCACGAGAATTTCGTGAAGCATACACAAGTATCAATAGCAGAATTGATCAAACGGAAGAAAAGATATCAGACATTGAAAATCAACTTAATGAAATAAAGCTTGAAGACAAGATTAGAGAAAAAAGAATGAAAAGGAACAAATAAAGTCTCCAAAAAATATGGGACTATGTGAAAAGACGAAACCTATGCTTGACTGGTGAACCTGAAAGTGACGGGGAGAATAGAACCAAGTTGGAAAACACTCTTCAGGATAATATCCAGGAGAACTTTCCCAACCTAGCAAGACAAGCCAACATTCAAATTCAGGAAATACAGAGAACAGCACAAAGATAGTCCTTGAGAAGAGTAACCCCAAGACACATAATTGTCAGATTCACCATGGTTGAAACAAATGAGAAAAATGTTAAGGGCAGGCAGAGAGAAAGGTCGGGTTACCTACAAAAGGAAGCCCATCAGACTAACAGTGGATCTCTCTGCAGAAACTCTACAAGCCAGAAGAGAGTGGGGGCCAATATTCAACATTCTTAAAAGAATTTCCAACCCAGAATTTCATATCAAACCAAACTAAGTTTCATAAACAAAGCAGAAATAAAATGCTTTACAGACTAGCAAATGCTGAGAGACTTTGTTACCACCAGGCCTGGCTTACAAGAGCTCCTGAAGGAAGCACTAAATATGGAAAGGAAAAACCGGTACCAGCACTGCAAAAACATAACAAATTGTAAAGACCATTGACACTGTGAAGAAACTGCATCAACTAATGGGCCAAATAACCAGCTAGCACCATAATGACAGGATCAAATTCACACATAAAAACATGAGGCTTAAATGTAAATGGGCTAAATGCCCCAATTAAAAGACACAGACTGGTAAGTTGGATAAAAAGTCAAGACCCATCAGTGTGCTGTATTCAGGAGACCCATCTCACATGCAGAGACACACACAGGCTCAAAATAAAGGGATGGAGCAAGATCTACCAAGCAAATGGAAAACAAAAAAAGGCAGGGGTTGCAATCCTAGTCTCTGATAAAACAGACTTTAAATCAACAAAGATAAAAAAGACAAAGAAGGGCATTACATAATGGTAAAGGGATGAGTGCACCAAGAAGAGCTAACTGTCCCAAATATATATGCATCCAATACAGGAGCACCCAGATTCATAAAGCAAGTTCTTAGAGACCTACAAAGAGACTTAGACTCCCACACAATAACAGTGGGAGATTTTAACACCCCACTGTCAATATTAGACAGATCAACCAGACAGAAAATTAACCAGGATAGTCAGGACTTGAATTCAGCTCTGGACCAAGTGGACCTAATAGACATCTACAGAACTCTCCACCACAAATCAACAGAATATACATTCTTCTCAGCATCACATCACACTTATTCTAAAATTGAACATATAATTGGAAATAAAGCACTCTTCAGCAAACGCAAAAGAATGGAAATCATAAGAAACAGTCTCTCAGACTGTTTCTCAGTGCAAACAAACAGTCTCTCAGTGCAATCAAATTAGGACTCAGGATGAAGAAACTCACTCAAAACCACTCAACTATATGGAAACAACCTGTTCCTGAATGACTACTGGGTAAATAACAAAATTAAGGGAGAAAAAAAATCATTTCTTTTGAAACCAATGAGAAGAAAGGCAAAACGTACAGAATCTCTGGGACACAGCTAAGCAGTGTTTAGAGGGAAATTTATAGCACTAAATGCCCACAGGAGAAAGCAGGAAAGATCTAAAATCGACACCGTAACATCGCAATTAAAAGAACTAAAGAAGCAAGAGCAAACAAATTCAAAAGCTAGCAGAAGACAAGAAGTAACTAATATCAGAGCAGAACTGAAGGAGCTAGAGACATGAAAAACCCTTCAAAAAATTAATGAATCCGGAGCTGCTTTTTTGAAAAGATCAACAAAATACATAGACTGCTAGACAGACTAATAAAGAAGAAAAGAGAGAAGAATCAAATAGACACAATAAAACATAATAAAGGGGATATCACCACTGATCCCACAGAAATACAAACTACCATCAGAGAATACTATAAACACCTCCATGCTAATAAACTAGAAAATCTAGAAGAAATTGATAAATTCCTGGACACATACACCCTCCCAAAACTAAACCAGGAAGAAATCAAATCCCTGAATAGACCAATAGCAAGTTCTGAAGTTGAGAGAGTAATTAATAGCGTACCAACCAAAAAGAGCCCAGGTCCAGATGGATTCACAGTTGAATGCTACCAGAGGTAAAAAGAGGAGCTGGTACCTTTCCTTCTGAAACTATTCCAAACAATAGAAAAAAAAGGGACTCCTCCCTAACTCATTTTATGGGGCCAGCATCAACCTGATACCAAAACCTGGCAGAGACACAACAAAAAAAGAAAATTTTAGGTCAATATCCCTGATGAACATCGATTTGAAAATCCTCAATAAAATACTGGCAAACCGAATCCAGCAGTACATCAAAAAGGTTATCCACCACGATCAAGTCGGCTTCATCCCTGGAATGCAAGTCTGGCTCAACATATGCAAATCAATAAATGTAATCCATCACATAAACAGAACCAAAGACAAAAACCGGATGATTATCTCAATAGATGCAGAAAAGGCCTTCGACAAAATACAACACCGCTTCCCGCTAAAAACTCTCAATAAGCTAGGTATTGATGGAACATATCTCAAAATAATAAGAGCTATTTATGACAAACTCACAGCCAATATCATACTGAATGGGCAAAAGCTGAAAGCATTCCCTTTGAAAACTGGAACAAGACAAGGATGCCCTCTCTCACCACTCCTATTACAACATAGTATTGGAAGATCTGGCCAGGGCAGTCAGTCAAGAGAAAGAAATAAAGGCTATTCAAATAGGAAGAGAGGAAGTCAAATTATCTCTGTTTGCAGATGACATGATTTATATATTTAGAAAACCCCATCGTCTCAGCGCAAAATCTCCTTAAGCTGATAAGCAACTTCAGCAAAGTCTCAGGATACAAAATCAATGTGCAAAAATCACAAGCATTCCTATACAGCAGTAATAGACAAACAGAGAGCCAAATCATGAGTGAACTCCCATTCACAATTGCTACAAAGAGAATAAAATACCTAAGAATGCAATTTACAAGTGATGTGAAGGACCTCTTCAAGGAGAACTAAAAACTGATCAAGGAAATAAGAGCGGATACAAACAAATGGAAAGACATCCCATGCTTATGGATAGGAAGAATCAATATCTTGAAAATGGCCATACTGCCCAAAGTAATTTATAGATTCAACACTATCCCCATCAAGCTACCATTGACTTTCTTCACAGAATTAGAAAAAGCTACTTTAAATTTCATGTGGAACCAAAAACAGCCTGTATAGCCCAAACAATCCTAAGCAAAAACAACAAAGCTGGAGGCATCATGCTACCTGACTTTAAACTATACTAATGGCTACAGAACCAAAACAGCATGGTACTGGTACCAAAACAGATATATAGACCAATGGAACAGGACAGATGCCTCAGAAATAACGCCACACATCTACAACCATCTGATCTTTGACAAACCTGACAAAAACAAGCAATGGGGAAAGGATTCCCTAAATGGTGTTGGGAAAACTGTCTAGCCATATGCAGAAAACTGAACCTGGATCCCTTCCTTACACCTTATACAGAAATTAACTCAAGATGAATTAAAGACTTAAACGTAAGACCAAAACCCATAAAAACCCTAGAAGAAAACCTAGGCAATACCATTCAGGACGTAGGCATGGGCAAAGACTTCATGACTAAAGTACCAAAAGCAATGGCAACAAAAGCCGAAATTAAAAAATGGGATGTAATTAAAGAGCTTCTGCACAGCAAAAGAAACTATCATCAGAGTGAACAGAAAACCTACAGAATGGGAGAAATTTTTTGCAATCTATCCATCTGACAAAGGGCTAATATCCAGAATCTGCAAGGAACTTAAACACATTTACAAGAAAAAAACCCATCAAAAAGTAGGTGAAGTATATGAACAGACCCTTCTCAAGGGAAGGTATTTACACAGCCAAAAAACATATGAAAAAAAGCTCGTCGTCACTGGTCATTAGCGAAATGCAAATCAAAACCACAGTGAGATACCATCTCATGCCAGTTAGGATGGCGATCATTAAAAATTCAGGAAACAACAGATGCTGGAAAGGATGTGGAGAAATAGGAACACTTTTACACTGTTGGTGGGTGTGTAAGTTAGTTCAACCATTGTGGAGGGCAGTGTAGCAATTCCTCAAGGATCTAGAACCGGAAATACCATTTGACCCAGCAGTCCCGTTACTGGGTATATATCAAAAGGATTATAAATCATTCTACTTTGAAGACACATGCACAAGTATGTTTATTGCAGCACTATTCACAATAGCAAAGACTTAAAACCAACCCAAATGCCCATCGATGGTAGACTGGATAAAGAAAATGTGGCACATATACACCATGGATTACTATGCAGCCATAAAAAAGGATGAATTCATGTCTTTTGCAGGAACATCGATGAAGCTAGAAACCATCATTCTCAGCAAATTAATAAAGGAAGAGAAAAGCAAACACTGCACATTCTCACACATAAGTGGGATTCGAACAATGAGAACACATGGACACAGGGAGGGGAACATCAAACACCAGGGCCTGTCAGGGGGTGGGGGGCTAGGGAAGGGATAGCATTAGGAGAAATACCTAACATAGGTGATGGGTTGATGGGTGCAGCAAACTACCATGACACGTGTATACCTATGTAACAAACCTGCATGTTCTACACATATATCTCAAAACTTAAAGTATAAAAAAATTAAACAATAACTATTTCAGGTACTGTTAAAAGCATATCTAGTGGACTAAAACAAGATGAATTTCCTCTCTAAGAGTATTGTTGTTACTAAATCAAATCTTCTTGAACAGTATACCAGTTGCGGTTGGTATTTCTTCCATGTTTTCTCCAGCTGGGTATGATATGAATTTTTTAAAATGTTCTGAGTCAGTGACAATTTACTAATGAATCAAATTAGATCTAATCAGACACTGTCTTTGCATGAACCCATCATCTGTGTTTGATTTTGTTTCTCTCAGAAAATATTGGTGATTTTTTTCTTTCACATTATATGAATTTTTTAGATTACTGGGTGGTTCAATTTCTGAATCATTGGCCTGGAACCTTGATTAAAATCTTGCCATTACCTGCTTGACTCAAAAGTCTTTCTCAGTTTATAACAGAAACCTAGAAATGAGAAGTCCTCAGTGAAATACATTTCATAATTGGAGTTTCTGACAAATTGCAGTCAAGAGAATATCCCTTCTTGAAGCTTCCAGAGGCCTCCTTCAGGTTACACAGCTCCTGATTGAGCAATGATGGAATTGCTTCCTTTCTTAGAGAAAGTAGGAACCAGAAAAAGGCCTAGCTTGTCAGAGTAACAGGCATCAAGCCTCTAGGTCAGCACCTGTAATATCAATGAAGTAAATTTGAAGTTTTGAGTTTCCTTGCTAACTGAAATTTCTGCTTTTCTTTTTAAAAGGAAATCTACTATGTCAGCATATTTGTGTCATTTTTATGCAAACATTGAAGGGGAATCATCACACAATATGTCTTTTGTTGTCATTTTATAATTCTCAGAATAATGTGGAACACAACTTACAAATATCCAAAGTCAGGGATTTCTAAGCCATTTTATATTCTGTCTTATGCTACTTTCCATAATTTCCTTTCACAGGCAGTCATTCTAATATTGGGTTTAGTAGCTGTAGCAGCAAAGTGTTATTTCTAGCTATGACTTACTGTCTGTTGCTTTAAATACTAAATTTAACTTGGTAATCTCTACAGAAAAGTGAAATATTGATATAAATCATTTTAGTAGGTATGCAGCACTAAGAAATTGTCTACAGAAGAAAAAATATATAATTACATCAAATGCATGACTCTCATATTTTGCCAAGCCCACTTGGTTTCTTTCACTGTGTCCCTTGATCTGGTTAATTGTTCTGCAATATGTTTCATTTTATATGGTTAAGAAGCTAGAAAAATATGGCTTTGCCTAACATTAGACAGATTAATTTGGCTAAAGTGAAATTATTGTTATCTTGTTTGATATGTGCTGCTTCAATATAGACATGATTTTAATGGTCCACTGAAACTCTTAAGGAAGCTGGTAGTGGAGCTCCCACTCATGTTCAACCAATATGGCATGTCGCATCAATCTATTGAGCTTGGCTATTGAAATGCTTCTTTAAAAATGATCTAAATAATACCTGCATTTTATTAGAAAAAGAAAGCATTTATTCTTACAAATAGGACATCTAAAAATGCATTCACTTTGACAGCAATGCTGCACTCAGGTGTAATAAAAGTGATGAGCCCATATAATAAAATTTATGAAACCAGAGTGAATTCAATTTATTTGAATATGCTCAGTTATGTTTTTGTTTATTTCCATAGCAGATGTTTAATTTACAAACCAGGCAATTACGACAGCTCTTCCAAACAAATAAGAGCAGATTAGTCAAATGTTCACATCAATTTTTATGTTTATCATTAGTTTTATGAGGTGTCATGAATATTCAGTGGTAAGAAAAACTATCATTATGGTACCTGGAAAACCTCAAAATGATGTTTTGCATCTCTAAATGCTATTTCTCCTTTTTTTGATAAATCTATTAGTGTGTGTGGTCTCTTATTATAAGTTGTGCTTATGGGTTGTGATAGAAAAAAAGTACTCATTCTCTCTAGAGATCTAATACATTCTAATCAATGCACTGATGGCATTTCTGTGAAAAGCATATTGGTGATCATATTTTTATTTTTGCTAAATAGATAAAGTTTGCATATTTAGAAAAATTAACATGCAGATTTTTTCTTTGATTTTATAAATTTTAATTTTGCTTCAAAATAACTCAGCCTGCACTTATTTCTGTGATTAATATGCTTCCTTTTCTTATAAACATCTTTTATTATACCAAAGGAAAGTTTTGCTTTTCCAGACATCAGACTTGTTGTGGGTCTTAGATAGGAAATCTTAACATGAAGCCATTTATGAGGGAAGACCCCACACAGCAGTTTTATTTTTCTTTTTGGTGTTTAATTGTCAGAATAAAAAGGCTATAGCTCCATTATGAGTCAGTAAAACTACATGGCATCATCCATAAACAAGGAAGAAATATTTTCCTGGCTGCTTTTGAATAGATTGCATTTTGGCAAGCTCTGCCCTAAAAGTTGTGAAATGTCCTCAATATCCTAACTGGCATCTCACAATGCATTTTCCGCAATCCATTGTAATGGCAGGTTTCATATCATTAATCAGCATTCAGAGTGAAAACAAAATTAGGTGATCAATGTGTTAAAACAGCTCTGATGGAATAACTTCAATAAAAATATTTGCAACATATCAAATGCTGAAACGGAACCTGGTGTAAACATGCTTTTATTATAAAAGAGGATTTCAACTATCACGTCATAAGTTTTGGTGTTCTTGTATGTTTGTTTTCCTCACTAGCATATTTTTTTTTTACTAGAACCAAAATATCATCTGCCTCTTTGTCATTAGTTATAGTATAAACCTCTCAGGAATATTAACTTCAAAATTAACTTTACACACACACACACTATATATATATATACACACACACACACACATATACACACACACACAAACATATACATACTTCGATATATAGCGCGTGTGTGTATATATATTTTTATATATATGATTTTTATGTTTTGAATTTGAATATGGGCCATGTAAGAGAGTTTGAGGATGTCAAAGTCGATATTTAATGTATAGACAGCTATTGGATTCTCACTGAAATTTCTAAAAGTTTGTTATTTAGAATGCAAAACTGAATCTGAATTTGGGTTTCATGTTTCTATGATCTCTATATGCAAACAATGTCATTCTAAGGAAGAAATAGGAGGAGGAAAGCTAAGAGACACAGATACATAGAAAGCACCATTGATAAATAATTGCACACAGGTACAACTGACCCTTGAACAATGTGGGGGTTAGAGACACTGATAATCTGCACAGTCAAAAATTCACATATAACTTTTGACTCCCCAGCAAACTAACTACTAAAAGCCTACTGTTGACTAGAAACCTTACCAATAACATAAGCAGTCAATACATATTTTGTAAAACATATTTTGATAACACATACTGGATAATACATATTTTTATAAGTATTATATACTGTATTCTTATAACAAAGTAAGAGAGAAAAATTATTAAGATCATAAGGAAAAGAAAGTGTATTTACATTCATTAAGTAGAAACAGGTCATTATACAGGTCTTTATCCTCAACTTCTTTATGTTGAGTAGGCTGAGGAGGAGGGGAAGGAGGAAGATTGGTTGGTTTTGTAATATGAGGGGTGGCAAAGGCAAAAGAAAATTCATGTATAAGTGGACCCATACAGGTCAAACCCATGTTGCTCAAGAGTCAACTATTGGATCATGGTGGATGTGGGCAGGAATAGATTGCAGCTCCAGACAGAGTAGCATCCAGAGGCTTGCATTGTGAATATTAGCTCCAGATAGACTGCAAGAACAAACCAGCAATCCCAAGA
This sequence comes from Homo sapiens, assembly GCF_000001405.40. NCBI lineage: Eukaryota > Metazoa > Chordata > Mammalia > Primates > Hominidae > Homo > Homo sapiens. Next base: position 115,156,910 of record NC_000006.12, on the reverse strand, counting down.
GGACCCACAGACCCTCTGAAGGAAGTGGTCTGCTCCGGCAGGACCTGGAAGATGCCCCAAATACTATAAGTGCCCCAACTGCAGAAGTGGGAAAGGGAGACTTTCCTGTCCTGAACACACACCACTGCTGGAGAAGCTGAAGGTCTGTTTGTGGGAGAAGTTTCTGACTTGACCTGGAGCTGAGTCAAGTTAGAGAGCTGAGTGAAATACAGGGGTAGAAGAAGCAGGAGAAAGGCACTGGGAGCTCGCTGGGTCCCCAAGCAGCCCATTCCTGCCTGGCACCACAGGGATCCATTGGGAGGGTAGCCAGAGGAGCAGGGGGTAAACGTCCACAGAGAGAAAGAATTCTCTAGCCAAACATTGTAACAATTTGAATGTGGGGAGAAGCCTCCTGGCCAGAACTCACAGAAGGCCATGAATCAGGTGTGCAGACTTCACAGGTCCTTTCACAGCTGGGAGGCGGATAGCCTTGGGCAAGTTTTCAAGCCCTTCTCATCTTCCACCTGGAAATGGACTCAGAGATGTTGGTGGGGGCACAGTGGGAATAAGACTGACTCTTTGGTTTGCATGGATGCTGGGTGAGGCCTGTGATTGCTGGTTTTCCGTGACTTCTCTGACAACCTGCATGACTCAGCAGAGGCAGCCATAATCCTCCTAAGTACACAACTCCAGTGACCTGGGAATCTCACTCCCATTCCCCATAGCAGCCATGACAAGATCTGCCCAAGGAGAGTCTGAGCTCAGACATGCCTAGCCCCAGCCCCCCATGATGGTTCTTTCCTATCCATCCTGGTAGTGGAAGAAAAATGGCATAGAATCTTGGGAGTTCTAGGACCCCGCCCAACACCAGTCCCTCACCACACTATTACAGCTGATGCTTTCTGGAAAGACCTCCTGACAGGAGGCCAACCAGCACAAAAATAGAGCATTAAACCACCAAAGCTACGGACCCTCACAGAGTCCATTGCACCCTCTGCCACCTCCACCAGAACAGGCACTGGTATCCACAGCTGAGAGACCCATAGATGGTTCATATCACAGGACTCTGTGCAGACAACCCCCAGAACCAGCCCAGAGCCCCATAGACTTGCTGGGTGGCTAGACCCAGAAGAGAGATGATAATCACTGCAGTTCGGCTCATAGGAAGCTACATCCATTGGAAAAGAGGGGAAGTACTATATCAAGGGAATACCCCATGGGACAAAAGAATCTGAGCAACAGCCTTTCAGCCCTAGACCTTTCATATGACAGAGCCTACCCAAATGAGAAGGAACCAGAAAACCAACCATGGTAATATGACAAAACAAGGCTCTTCAACACCCCCCAAAAAATCACACTAGTTCACCAGCAATGGATTCAAATCAAGAAGAAATCCCTGATTTACCTGAAAAAGAATTCAGGAGGTTAGTTATTAAGCTAATCAGGGAGACACCAGAGAAAGATGAAGCCCAATGAAAGAAAATTCCAAAAAACGATACAAGAAGTGAAGGGAGAAATAGTCAATGAAATAGATAGCTTAAAGAAAAAAACAATAAAAAATTCAGGAAACTTTGGATACACTTTTAGAAATGTGAAATGCTCTGGAAAGTCTCAGCAATAGAATTGAACAGTAGAAGAAAGAAAGTCAGAGCTCAAAGACAAGGTCTTCTAATTAACCTAATCCAACAGAGACCAAGAAAAAATATGAAAACATGAACAAAGGTTCCAAGAAGTAAAGGGTTATGTTAAATGACCAAATCTAAGAATAATTGGCCTTTCTGAGGAAGAAGAGAACCCTAAAAGCTTGAAAAACATATTTGGGGGAATAATTGAGGAAAACTTCCCCAGCCTAGCTAGAGACCTAAACATCCAAATACAAGAAGCACAAAGGACACGTGGGAAATTCATCACAAAGAAAATCATCACCTAGGCACATTATTATCAGGTTATCCAATGTTAAAATGAAAGAATCTTAAGAGCTGTGAGACAGAAGCACCAGGTAACCTATAAAGGAAAACCTATCAGATTAACACCAGATCTCTCAGCAGAAACCATAAAAGCTAGAAGGAATTGGGGCCCTATCTTCAGCCTCCTCAAAAAAAAAAAAAAAAAAAAACAATTATCACCCAAGAATTTTGTATCCAGCAAAACTAAGCATCATATATGAAAGAAAGATACAGTCATTTTCAGACAAAGATATGCTGAGAGAATTTGCCATTACCAAGCCTCAACTACAAGAGCTGCTAAAAGGAGCTCTAAATCGTGAAACAAATCCTGGAAACACATCAAAACAGAACCTCTTTAAAGCATAAATCTCACGGGACCTATAAAACAAAAATACAAGCTAAAAAGCAAAAGCAAAAAACAACAACAAAAACCCCCCAAAGTACTTAGGCAACAAAGAGCATGATGAATGCAATGGTACCTCACATTTCAACACTAACATTGAATGTAAAAGGCCTAAATGCTCCACTTGAAAGATACAGGACCATGGGATGAATAAGAACTCACCAACCAACTATCTGCTGCGTTCAGGAGACTCATAGTACATAAGGACTCACATAAACTTAAAGGGTGGAAAAAGGCATTTCATACAAATGGACACCAAAAGCAAGCAGGGATTGCTATTTTTATATCGGACAAAACAAACTTTAAAGCAACAGTGGTTAAAAGAGACAAAGGGGGACATTATATAATGGTAAAAGACCTTTACAACAGGAAAGTATCACAATCCTAAACACGTATGTGCCTAACACTGGAGCTCCCAAATTTGTAAAACAATTACTACTTGACCTAAGAAATGAGATAGGCAACAATACAATAATAGTGGGGGACTTCAATACTCCACTGACAGCACTAGACAGGTCATCAAGACAGAATGTCAACAAAGAAACAATGGATTTAAACTATACCTTGGAACAAATTAACAGATATATACAGAACATTTCATCCAATAACTGCAGAATACACATTCATATACACCTATTCAGTGCATGTAACTTTCTCTAAGATAGACCATATGATAGGCCATAAAACAAGCCTCAATAAATTTTTAAAAAATCAAATTTTATCAAGCACTTTCTCAGACCACAGTGGAAGAAAACTGGAAATCAACTCCAGAAGGAACCTTCAGAACCATGCAAATACATGGAAATTAAATAACCTGCTCCTGAATGAGCACTGGGTCAAAACCAAATAAAGATGAAAGTTAAAAAATTATTTGACTTGAATGACAATAATGACACAACCTTCAAAACCTCTGGGATACAGCAAATATGGTGCTAAGAGGAAAGTTCATAGCTTAAATGCCTACATCAAAAAGTCCAAAGGAGCACAAACAATCTAAGGCTACATCTCAAGGAAGTAGAGAAACAAGAACCAACCAAACCCAAACCCAGTAGAAGAAAGTAAATAACCAAGATCAGAACAGAACTAAATAAAATTGAAACAAACAAAAAAATTACAAAAGATAAATGAAACAAAAAGCTATTTCTTTGAAAAGGTAAATAAAATTGATAGACCGTTAGCAAGATTAACCAAGAAAGAAAGAGAAAATCCAAATAACCTCAATAAGAAAACAAGAGTTATTACAACTGACACCACTGAAATACAAAAGATCATTCAAGGCTATTATGAACACCTTTATGCACATAAACTAGAAAACCTAGAACACATGGATAAAATCCTGGAAAAATACAACTCTCCTAGCTTAAAAAAGGTAAGAATTAGATACCCTGAAAAGACCACAAATAAGCAGCGAGACTGAAATGGTAATGCAAAAATTACCAAAAAGAAAAGTCCAGCACCAGACGGATTCACAACAGACATTCAAAGTAGAGTTCATACAAATCCTTTTGACACTATTCCACAAGATGGAGAAAGAAGGAACCCTCCCTAACTCGTTCTATAAAGCCAGCATCACTCTAATACCAAAACTAGGAAAGGACACAACCAAAAAAGAAAACTACAGACCAATATCATTGATGAACATAGATGCTAAAATCCTTAATAAAATACTAGCTAACTGAATCCAACAACATATCAAAAAGACAGCTCACCATGATCAAGTGTGTTTCATACCAGGGATGCAGGGATGGTTTAACATATGCAAGTCAATAAATGTGATAAGCCACATAAACAGAATTAAAAACAAAAATCACATGGTCATCTCAATAGATGCAGAAAAGAATTCAGCAAAATCCAGCATCCCTTTATGATTAAAACTCTCAACAAAATCGGCATACAAGGGACAAGCCTTAATGTAATAAAAGCCATCTATGACAAACCACAGCCAACATAATACTGAATGGGGAAAAGTTGAAAGCATTCCCTGTGAAAATTGAACAAGACAATGCCCACTCTCACCACTCCTCTTCAACATAGTACTGGAAATCCTAGCCAGAGCAATCAGACCAGAGAAAGAAATAATGGGCATTCAAATCAGTAAAGAGAAAGTCGAACTGTAACTGTTTGCTGATGATATGATCGTTTACCTTGAAAACCCCAAGGACTCCTCCAGAAAGTTCCTAGAACTGATAAAAGAATTCAGCAAAGTTTCTGGATACATAATATACACAAATCAATAGCTCTTCTATACACCAACAGCGTCCAAGTGGAGAATCAAATCAAGAACTCAACCCTTTTTTGTAATAGCTACAAAAAAATTAAAATAGGAATATACCTAACCAAACAGTCCAAAGACCGTTACAGAAAACACTGCTGAAAGAAATCATAGATGACATGAGCAAATGGAAACACATCCCATGCTCATGGACGGGTAGAATCAATATTGTGAAAATGACCATTCTGCCAAAAACAATCTACAAATTCAGTGAAATTCTCTTTAAAATACCACCACCATTCTTCGCAGAATTAGAAAAAACAATTCTAAAATTCATATGGAGCCAAAAAAGAGCCTGCATTGTCAAAGCAAGACTAAGCAAAAAGAACAAATCTTGAGGCATCACACCACCTGATTTCAAACTATATTATAAGGCCATAGTCACCAAAACTGCATGATATTGGTATAAAAATAGGCACATAGGCCAGTGGAACAGAATAGAGAACTCAGAAATAACCCCAAATAATAACTGCCTACTGATCTTCAACAAAGCAAACAAAAACATAAAGTGGGGAAAGGACATCCTTTTCAACAAATGGCCCTGGGATAATTGGCTAGCCACATGTAGGAGAATAAAACTGAATCCTCCCCTCTCACCTTATACAAAAATTAACTCAAGATGGATTAAAGACTTAAATCTAAGACCTGAAACTATAAAAATTCTAGAAGATAACACTGGAAAAAAACCCTTCTAGACATTGGCTTAGGCAAGGATTTCATGACCAAGCACCCAAAAGCAAATGCAATAAAAACAAAAAGAAATAGCTGGGACCTAAATAAACTAAAGAGCTTTTGCACAGCAAAAGGAATAGTCAGCAGAGTAAACAGACAACCCACAAACTGGGAGAAAATCTTCACAATCTGTACATCCGAGAAAGGAGTAATATCCAGAATCGACAACAAACTCGAACAAATCAGTAAGAAAAAAAAATACCATCAAAAAGTGGGCTAAGGATATGAATAGACAATTCTCAAAAGAAGATATACAAATAGCCAACAAACATATGAACACATGCTCAACATCACTAATGATCAGAGAAATGCAAATCAAAACCACAATGTGATACCACCTTACTCCTCCAAGAATGGCCATAATCAAAAAGTCATAAAACAGTAGATGTTGGCATGGGTGCGGTGAACAGGGAACATTTCTACACTGCTGGTGGGAATGTAAACTCGTACAGCCACTGTGGAAAAGAGTGTGGAGTTTCCTTAAAGAATTAAATGTAGAACTACCTTTTGATCCAGCAATCCCACTACTGGGTGTCTACCCAGAGGAAAAGAAGTCATTATTCGAAAAAGACACTTGCACATGCATGTTTATAGCAGCACAATTCACCATTGCAAAATCGTGGAACCAACCTAAATGCCCATCAATCAACAAGTGGATAAAGAAACTGTGGTAAATGTGTACAAAGGAGTGCTTCGCAGCCATAAAAAGGAATGATTTAGCAGCATTTTCAATGACCTGGATGACATTGGAGACTATTATTCTAAGTGAAGTAAGGCAGGAATGAAAAACCAAACATTTTATGTTCTCACTTATACGTGGGAGCTAAGCAATGAGGACACAAAGGCATAAGAATGATACAATGGACTTTGGGGACTTGGGGGAAAGGGCGGGAGGAGCACAAAGGATAAAAGATGACAAATGTGGTGCAGTGTATACTGCTTGGGTGATGGGTGCACCAAAGTCTCACAAATCACCACTACAGAACTTATTCATGTAACCAAATACCACCTGTATGCCAATAACTTATGTAAAAATAAAATAAAAAAGAATCAACTGTTCATTGATAGCCAATATTCTCCTGGGAATCCAGGAAACACAGAAAATGATATACCACAGGTCTTTAGATTACAAAGATTTAGAAAGTCTGAATTGTTCATGGTCTTTGCTTTCTTATAACAGAACTACAGGCTTTTAAATTGAAGGCTGGCAAAATTACCTGGTAATTATTCACATCAGTCTGTTATAAAGAACATAATTACATCTGTAAATGATAAATGATGTTCTTTCTTCCCCAAGTTCAAGTTATGAAGTTCCCATTTACAATAGCTAGCCACAAAATTTACTTAAATATTTTCTTTGTCCCTTTGCAAGGATGTCATAGTTTGCCTCTCACTACTTTAGACCTATGTATATATTTCATCATTGTTCTGGGATGGCAAACATTAGAAAATTTTCTTTTCTTTAGGACCAAAACATGACTTCTGTGAAAATATGCAAAGCAAAATTCCATATATTTTCAGGGTTTCCATATTAATTCTAGGTCAGAATACTTAAGTGTACTACAAAATATGTAACTTAGACTTAAAAACACTAAACTTATAAATGAAGTGTGGAAATTTGTTTTCCTAATGCATTGATCATAATTTCCTAGTTAGATGTCTCAGTTGTTAGATTTTTAGTGTTTCAAAATATAAAAATGATCTAGGTGGAATTAATTTACTTGTTTTAATACAGTAACATGTTTTACACAAGGAAAACATAGAATAAACATGTATAAAAACTTTTGCATACTGGAAGATATCAACATTTTTTATGCTTTACCGAAGATTGAAACATTTTATGCAAAACTATTGTTTCTTTTCTTTATAAGGTAATATTTTTAGCCCATTTTCTTACATCTGTGTCAAGGAAAAAGACTTATGTCTCTGCGTGTTTATAATATTAGCTTATAACACTTATTCACTAATATATTTTTAAGATTGAAATAGTCAGCAGCAACAACCTTAGAGACAAAAACTAGTAGGCTAGAAGGAACGTTGGATAGAAAATGCAGTTTGCAAGTCAAGTTATATAATTTCTCATTCTTTCATGCATTTAGTATTCTTTGAGTTACATTTATTCAACTTATTGTTTACGTCACAGTTACTATTTTCTAGGTAAGGGGATGTAAATGTAAATGCTCACTGTACCTTAACATGCTCAGGTCAAAGTATCATGGGGGAAGTTGACTCACAATATGAAAATTGGGGAAGCAAAGTCCTGTGAATCTTGGCTGTGAAGTAAGAGGCAATACTGGATGTCTCTAATATATCGGTCAGTTTTTATTTTAAAAATTTCTAAAGTTGACTCCACTTCGAATGATTAATTTTCAAAAGTGAAAAAATCAATAGTGTAATGACTAAAGACTGTATTTAGTAATTACATACATTTACTTTTTAAAATATATGTTGATCCCATTTTCAATATTATAAAATGTAGTTATTATGTTCTCCTAATAATGTCTTCATTAGTCAGTTATTACTGATTTGAGCTTATTAGAGTTCAGCTTTTCACTGATGGTCAACTCTAATTGCTAGAAAATGTTTCTTTTGCAATACTACATCTATTTTGGGAGAGAAAAAGACAATAAGTCATGTTTCCCTACTTCTAAATACTGAAGTTAATGAGGGACTTTTTTTTTTTTTTTTTTTTTTTTTTGCAAACACTATCAGGTTAGGAAGCCATCTCTAAATGAGGTAAAATGCCATAGGACTGCAGGGCTGAGAGTGGTGGATCCCACATGGCCTCTACCTAAGGGCAGGGGATACCCTCTGGATTGAGTACCACACAATAGTGACCTTGAACAGGATGGGTAGGGTTTACAGAAGTGCTGTTTGACGAAAAAGCATCTCAGTTAGAAGGAGTGAAGGGAATAGGCTTAGAAGGGAGAAATAGGGTGTTGTTTAGAAACAATGAGAATGTATGGTCTTGTGTGAATGGGGGCAGCAAAAAAATACATGTGAAGAGGTCATGGATAATCACAATTCTCACTAATAATTCTTGATTCTTATCTTTCCTCCCTTTCTCCCTCCTGCCACACCTATATTCTTCAAATTTCAAATAGTTTACTTTCAAGCACAGTGACCTTCAAGCTTTGTAATTGTGCAACTTAAATTATTATATGCTTCTATTTAGACATTTTATACATGTATTACATAACAGGAATCTACCACGTACTAGCTTGGCACATTATTTAACTTCTTAAAGTGCGTTATTGTAAAAACACCCATTAAGTGTTATTGAAAGGATTAAGTAAATATATATTTTAAAAAATCCATTCTCTTAGAACTGTGACTGGCACTGGTCAGTATTATTTAAGCTTTGGGTATTATTAGTAATACTAGGTTTAGTAGTATTGTTGTTAATAGTAGTATTATTACTTGAATGAGTTATTCAATTTGTAAAACAAAATTTAAAAAATATAAACCAAAATGCTCCATATTTAAAACAAATGAAAATGTTTCCACTGCTCTAGGAAATAAGGAAGTCATTAAAGATTTTGAGTAGAAGAACAACATGTTTCATGGTGTCTTTTCCTTCTCTAATTTGTTTTTGAGACAAAAGAACATCCCATCCCTAAGGATGGTAATTCACAACGTAAGATTGACTGGCAAAGTTACTTACTGACCCAGCTAGATTTTAGCTGTCCCCAAACACAAAGGAACAGCTCTGGACATGTTCTGTCCATTCAAGGTCCCAACAGCCTGAGTCAGCTTTCCTCTGAATCAGCTTTGGAGAGTTGACTCTCCTCAAACAAAACTGGGCTGATCTGTGAATTGCCTTTTATAAGGGGTGTGTTCTGTTTTACCTTTTCTGTGAACTGAAAGGACCAACTCAGGGAATTGGCTTAGTTATAGAAGTTAATTTGCATTTTCTTTCTTATTTGTTTAAATTATACTTTAAGTTCTTGGGTACATGTGTACAACACACAGGTTTGTTACATATGTGTACATGTGCCATGTTGGTTTGCTGCACCAATCAACTTATCATTTACATAAGGTATTTCTCCTGATGCTATCCCTCCCCCATCCCCCCACCCCACGACAGGCCCCAGTGTGTGATGTTCCCCACCCAAGTGTTCTCATTGTTCAATTCCCACCTATGAGTGAGAATATGCAGTGTTTGGTTTTCTGTCCTTGTAATAGCTTGCTAAGAATGATGGTTTCCAGCTTCATCCATGTCCCTACAAAGGACATGAACTCATCCTTTTTTATGGCTGCATAGTATTCCATGGAGTATATGTGCCACATTTTCTTAATCCAGTCTATCATTGATGGACATATGGCTTGGTTCCAAGTCTTTGCTATTGTGAATAGTGCCACAATAAACATACATGTGCATGTGTCTTTACAGCAGCATGATATATAATCCTTTGGGTATATACCCAATAATGGGATCGCTGGGTCAAATGGTATTTCTAGTTCTAGATCCTTGAGGAATCGCCACACTGTCTTCCACAATGGTTGCACTAGTTTACACTCCCACCAACAGTGTAAAATCACTCCTATTTCTCCACATCCTCTCCAGCAATCTACCCATCTGACAAAGGACTAATATCCAGAATCTACAAAGAACTTGAACAAATTTACAAGAAAATATCAAACAACCCCATCAAAAAGTGGACAAAGGATATGAATAGACACTTCTTCAAAAGAAGACATTTATGCAGCCAACAGACACGTGAAAAAATGCTCATCATCACTGGTAATCAGAGAAATGCAAATCAAAACCACAATGAGATACCATCTCACAGCAGTTAGAATAGCGATCATTAAAAAGTCAGGAAACAACAGGTTAATTTGCTTTTTCTAGAGAAAAATTCCCAATATCAAAGGAAAAACTGAGGTAAAAGTGAAATAAATCAACTTGCTGTAAAATAATAATGTGTTAGTTACACACCTAAACTGTTTAAACCTAAATCTTTACCCCTAGAAATGTAATTTGGAGCAATTTAAGCTCTCTTTGTTTTTCTTTCTTCACTGGTAAAATAGGGACAGAACCCACCTACCTCACAGTATAGTTCAACACTATTATTTCAGGTGATCTATGCAAAATGCTTAGAACAGTAGCTTGTACATGCAGGTAATTATTTGCTGTTATATAGTTAGAACTACTCCCATACAATGTAAACATGTCTGATCTCTAAATTTAGTTATTATGTAGATAATTTTTACAGTTGTGGTATGGACAGTGTGCACAGAAACAGAAAAACATTTAATAACCATAAAGCACAATCACCCAGTTATAAAAGACTGATGACGGGTACTCCTAACCCAGCTCTGACCCTCGAGATTTTGCAAGACACCTCCTCTGTATTTATCCTTTTATCCAATGAGTATTTATTGTGTACCTGAGGTGTGCCAGTCATTGTGCATAGGCTGGGGATACGTGGTCAATAAACCATGGATTCTAGCAGGAATCCCAGAACAGATGTCTCTATCTATTTAGACCACATCTTAAAGACCTATTATTACAATGTCTTGAAGGAAAGAGGAATATAACATAGGAAATGGATTTTTTAATGGTTTACTTTTAACTGCTGCTTTAATAAATCTATTTAAAACAATAAAGGATTTTTTTGCTGTCCTTGGTTGCTGTATATTTGTCTTGTTCATTTATACATCTCACACACGGAATGTAACAGGCACTTATCAAATATTTGTTGAAAAAAAGAATTAAAAACACTAACATAGCCAGTGGTGTGCTAGGTAATGTTTCACAGTGACTTCTCTGGGAGAAGGGGCTTACTTGTAGGATTTGCTGGCCAATTTCTGATTTTTGTGGTATAAAATTCACCATGACAGATATCAAGCTACCAAGGCGACATCAATTGGCTCACATTTCTGAAAATTTATCGATCAACTGTCATAAACTGGTCTAAACAGCTCCAGGTAAAAAAATATATGATTTTGCTTCTGATTAAAAATCAAAACCATAAACCATTATGTTTGTACTATCTCAATTTATAATTATAGAATACATTTCTACAGTATTAGACACATTTTAAGCAGTCTCAATTCAGAGTATCAAAATTATTCTGAAAATTTAAACTTAATTCCCATAACAAACCCTCAGGTACATTCAGTAGCTTTACCTATTTTACAGATAAGGAAATTGAGGCACAGAGTAATTAGGCAAATTTCTTTAGGTCACACAGCTGGTGAATGGCAGAGACAAAATTCCAAACCTAGCAATTTGGCTCCAAAGCCTAAATTCATAATCATCGTGCCGTATTGCCTCTTAATGTTTCTTCTCCACCTTACACCCAATCATAAGGGTTTGATGATTGATCAGCCACTCGCTGCTTTAGCCCCTTGGTTGGTTTGTTTGTCTGTTTTGATGGAAGATTGGAATAGGAGGAGATTGCAAGTCAGGAGAAAAAGTAGAGGTTGTAGAGCCTTGGGAGATTTAGCTCTGAAACTGTTGCAATATTTATTTGTCTAGTGGAGAAGTCAGTTAAATCTCTATCAGTCTAGTAAAATATAAAAATTGCTGTTACATATGGACAATACAGTTGTATTACAGGCTGAAAAATTCCTCAACTGTTCTTACCTAGGAACCAGAAGTCTCCCACTAATTAGGAAAAGTCTTTAACCTCTGTCTTTTAATGCCTACATAAAGAGAGGTGATAATAAATAATCTGCAATAATTGCTAAGAGCTAAATTTTAAATTTCCAAATGTACTCTTTCAGATTCTTTTATTTTTCCTTTAGCCTAAAGTGAACAATAACTTTTCCGTGTATTAAATCTGTCCTCCATTTACAGATTCTGCTCTTCTGTACCCAACTGATTTTTTGATCTGTGAACATTCTGAGAGAATTTATTATCCATGTGTTTATAGAATGTTCATCAAACAAGAGACCTGGATACACTGGAGAAATACAGTAACTTGTGAAAAAAACATACATGTTAGGCTTGTCAGCTAGATTCCCCAGGGTGTTCCTCTTCCTAGCTATAGAGTCTAATTATTACTACTGGTTAAATATTATCTCACTGCCTCAAATTAATCATTATAAAGCCTTTTTTCACATTAATAGCAACCCTGTAACGTAGAAGTCCCAAGTATATGATGCCAAAATTGATGAAACTTTCAAATTAAAATATCTGTAGTATATTAGTTATTGTTATTGCAGGAGCATCTAAATACTTACAATAGAATTCTTATATAAGAGGCTTTCTCAAGATTTCATCTGTAGCCAAAAGCAAATCAAATTTCTTGCACAATAGTTCTGCTGAATGCATCTATTATATCCTCTCTGATTCTTCTGCTTCAGATGTAAGTGAGCAGGGTTTAGGAGTTGAGAAGGCAGCCACAGTCAGTCCATTTCGAGGTAGGGACACATGGCACCTAAAACTAATATTCTGGAAGAGATGCCAAAGTTAAATAAAGCCTGGATACAAATTCAGGACAAACGAGTCAAAAGAATGATTGCAAGAGTAGGAGCCAAAAGCAACAGAAGGGAAATACTAGAAATATAGAAAGACTGAGAAATAAAGAGTAGCACAGTAGATGCTTGGGTATCTGTAAGAGCCTTTTATTGTGGGGTAGCACATCCTTTAGAGGATACATGAGGTTCACGGAAAAGGGTTATTACTCAACAGACACTATCCTCACGTGAGAAAAGACTTGGAAAGGATAGAAGAGAATGGGATGTGGCTAATATATGTTGGTAATGAGATTGCAGATGGGAAGATGGTGATCTGAATTAATGTATTTGCCTTTCCTTCTGCAACTTCAATCCAAGCACCAAATAATGTTCCTTGGAAGTTCAATAGCTGGAAAGCTGATGGTCGTGCTTAGAGGATGTTTTTGGTGACCCATGTTTTCCTGGGACCCAGAAAGAAAGAGCCAACAATCAACTTTAATTCACCTCAGGGCTATACAGAGAACTTGGTCCATTGTATTCCTCAGAGGATAGGAGTATCATTTAAAAAGATATGTTTATTTCCATTATCTGGTTAAGTCCAAGTGGATTAAAAATAGAATGATTAGAAATTTTCAATGTAAGCTATGTCAGCAAATCTTTATAAATAGGATAGAAGTGGGGGAGTAGTTTTAAAAGTTTTCTAAAGTTCTGCTGAAGAATGTAAGAGAGAAAAAAAGAAAAGAAAATGTTCTAAAACATTTATAATTTTGAGGGTGGCCAGTGAGGATAGAGGTAGGCTGGTAAAGTTGAGTGACTGGCTCTCTTTCTCTATCTCTGTCAGATGTCTCTCTCTCTCAAGATATGTATTCATTGATGTGGCTTTAGGCTATGGAGAGCAGGGGATTGTGGTAAGGTTTAACCAGGGAATTTTCTCTCTTCTAATTAACATTTATTTTTATCCCAGTCTCCCTCAAATTATTCCTGTTCTTTTCTATCTGTGGCTGTGTAAGTTTTAGTCTCCTTTCAAGGTTCAGTTCCAATGCTATTAAAACTCTTTTATGGTAGCAAGGACACCAATAAGACTACGTGAGTTCCTATATTTGTTTTACTGTTTACTATCTTTATAATTTTAGATGAGTTATTTAACCTTTATGTGCCTCAGTTTCTTCATGTATGCTATGTGGATAATTATGAATCAATGTATATAAGGTGCTTTGAAAGAATGGCACCAAGAAGCCACTTAAGTGTGAGCTGTTAATATTACTATCATTATTAGTGCTATTATCTCATCTCCCCTCAGGAAATTAAGAGGAGAATCCATGTTTGATTCTCATCTTAAGCTTCTCAATCCATTGTAGAAACCTCAGGATCAAAAAGACAGAAAACATTACAGGTATTAGCTGGATGAAATTTTCCATATCCCTTAGGCTGTATTCTCAACACATTAGACCACAGTGAGTGAACACCCCAGATATGAGCATGTGCCGTGCAGGCATTTTATCCATTAATTACATTTTCTCTGAATCCCTCAACACAAGTGTGTACATACAATCTTAAACTTAATTTTATTGTCTTGTATTGTTTACTGTTTCAGATATTAACAAGTTAAAAGTTTGTTTACTTATGATTAGACTATTAGTAAAGATGTTAAGTACAGTATCACATTTAATGGAAGAGATCTCACTGTTTTGAAAAAGTGAGAATCCTTGAGGTAAAGTAATGGGTTTATAACTACAAAGTTAAAAGACAGTGGAGATTGTGTTTCAAGTCAAGTTAGCCTGGCTATGGAGTGTTCACACGGAACTCCTGGCACAATCATGGTGTCCCAAGACTGAAAACTCCCTGAGAACAGTGACCATGCCTTCTAGCGCATGACCTCACCAGGCAGAAGATGTCAGGCAATATTTGCTAATCTTTTACTCCATAAATATTTTAAAATGAGCATGATTAAATTTCCTGTTTATTAAAGAACTTTAAAATCTGAAGTGTATTTTTACATGAGAAAACAGCAGTGTAATTTTGGTTGCTTTCCTGTAAAAATCAATTTTAATGTGTCTGGAATTGTGTAGATATGATCCTGATAAAGAATAAAGTTTATCTGAAGGTATCACCCTACATGAAAACACATGGAGAAAAAGCAATTTCTCTGAAATATGTCCCTTTCTCCACATTATCACCTTTAAAATAGAAAAATGTTACCCAGGCTGGGCACGGTGGCTCACGCCTGTAATCCTAGCACTTTGGCAGGCCGAGGCGGGTGGATTGCCAGAGCTCAGGAGTTTGACACCAGCCTGGACAACACGGTGAAGCCCCGTCTCTACTAAAATATAAAAAATTAGCTGGGAGTGGTGGCATGTGCTTGTAATCCCAGCTACTCGGGAGGCTGAGGCTGGAGAATTGCTAGAATCCGGGAGGCGGAGGTTGCAGTGAGCCGAGATTGCGCCACTGTACTCCAGCCTGAGTGACAGAGTGAGACTCCAACTCTTAAAAAAAAATGTTAATCAGTGCTTTTGAGTCTACCTGTCATCATTATTCCTCCAGACCTAGAAGCTGCCTGCAAATAAACTGCCTGCCACTCTGCAGGCAGCACCAGAGACGCCCACCTGATGACAAAACAGAGCCAATGTTTCCTCTTCTTCAATATCTGATCCACCTGTTCCCAGCTCAGCTCTCCTGTGGACCAACTCACAGCCAGATGGTGTAGTACTGATACCCCATCCACCTGCCGGCTCTCTGTTGATGTCTTCTTGAGTCTTGTCTGTATGTCAGGTGATACTTACTCAGTGATAGCTCTTATCTTATAGGTGTTGAGTTGCTTGCTGTGTGTACTATTTAGCTGGCTGTCCTTAAATTTATTTAAGTGTACCATGTGAGGCATAGAGATTATATTATGCCCAGATGAATCATTTAATTCCAGCATTCTTGAAACTTAATTGTGCATAACCATTGCTCTTGGCATTTTTATTTGGATGTGATTCCCTTTTCAGCATTGGCTAAGAAAAACGTGTTTGCATCCCTCAAGATTTACATGTCTCCTCCCAAAGAAAAGGAGCTGAAATTATTTATAATATATATTTTCTGCAATTTCTCATAAATCCCTTGAGAATTACATTTCTCACAGATCTGTTTTCTGCCTATAATTCCAAATACGGTTACTACAGAGTTTATAGTTTTGCTGAAAAGGCTGATTTCCAAACCTCAATCTCTTTCCTGGAAATATTGTAAAGAGTAGTAGCAAAATGCTGCATTCATCACCAATCTGGATCATTACAATAAAAACCAACACTCATTAGGTACTTACTATAAGCCAAAACTTGCATTTAATAATTTACATGCCTTATATCATCTAATCCAAATAGCAACATTTAGTCAAGTACCCTTCTCATTTTATGAAGATAAAATAAACTTGGAAAATGTACTCTGCTTATGCAGTGTCACTCAACTGGTAAGTATCAAAGGTCATACACAGAGATTTCTCTACCAATGAAATATTTGCTCTTAGCCATTACACTATAGTTGTCCAAAATTGTTTTGGTGCTTTCTGTTCTATTGCTTTCTTTAAAAACATAGTTTATTAATGAGAAGGATCACTCTTTAAAATTACTGCAGTCTAAGATCCATATAGACATTGGTTTTACAATATCTCTAGCGAGAATTTGTTAAAAGGTAGTTAATTGAACATTTTTGCATATGTGATCTACTTTTACCAATGAACTTGGAAAGCAGATTGTTCTTCATCCTTATTATTTTCAATTACCTAAAATCATCCATTATAAATTTCAAATGAAGTTATTGTTTTAAAATTTAATAATTACATATTTATCCTTTTGCCTCTGCTATATTCAAGAATAATGGCAATTGTGCCCCTAAAAAGGAAATAAAAAAGAAATATAATAAAACATGAATTTATTTATTTATTTATTTATTATTATTTTTGAGACGGAGTGTCTCTCTGTCGCCCCCAGGCTGGAGTGCAGTGGCACGATCTCGGCTCACTGCAGGCTCCACCTCCCGGGTTCATGCCATTCTCCTGCCTCAGCCTCCCGAGTAGCTGGGACTACAGGCACCTGCCACCACGCCCGGCTAATTTTTTTGTATTTTTAGTAGAGATGGGGTTTCACCATGTTAGCCAGGATGGTCTGGATCTCCTGACCTCGTGATCCACCCACCTACGCCTCCTAAAGTGCTGGGATTACAGGCGTGAGCCATCACGCCCGGCCTACATTATAATCTTTAAACTTTAAACCTAAAAAACAAGATATTATAAAATGAAATGTTGATTATTTATAACATTGCCCTAATTTAAAAAGAAAAAAAGTTAGCCTAACTCTGATAACTGATTACTTCTATAGATTTTTTTTCTACAATATGCACATTTCAGATTCCATAGTGGCATGAAAGAATATTCCAAAAGAAATGAATCTAAAAAACGAAGAGTTGTTCTGGAGCAAAATGAGAATATGGCTTTATAGTCATAATGTCTTCAAATCCAAATTTCTGATAAATTAAAAGATGCATTAGGAAAGGCGATTTTTGCATTAGATAATGCATAGGAAGTACATCACATAATCTCTTGATCACAGCTAGTATTTACTCTTTATTTTTTCTTTTTCCAAATATTAATAAGTAATGAAAATACCCCTGACACATTTTTATTGTAATTTTTAGTTTTTCTGGATATGTAGTAGGTATATTTATGGGGTACATGAGATGTTAAGATACAGGCATGCAATGCGTAATAATCACATCATGAAGAATGGGGTATCCATCCCTTCAAGCATTTATCCTTTGTATTACAAACAAATTGATTACATTTTAAAATGTGCAATTAAGTTATTATTGACTATAGTTACCCTGTTGTGCTATCACCCCTGACCCTCTTTATCCTTCTTCTCTGTTTTGGTTTGTTTGGTCTCATCCCTTAGCACTTGTCATCATATAATGTAATATATATTTTATTTATACATCTTACTATTGTCTGTCTATCCATTAGAATGAAGTCAGGGATTTTTTGATTGAGTTATTTACTACTAGATTCCTAGTGTCCAGAACAATGCCTGGTTCACCATAGGTGGTCAATAAATACAAAGTGAATGAGTAATTTTGCTTGTCTTATAAGAACATATTCACTCTGGAACAATAAATTCAGAAATAGATTTTTTAGTATTACATATGAAGAACAAGTCAGAATAAAAGAGTATTGTTTGTATGGTTGTAGATATGGTAAAATGCAGAACATGAATATGTAGAGACACAAGTAAAAATAAAAAACTCCAGTGATATAAAAGCACTTTGAAACCAATTTGTATGTAAAAGCTATGCATGTAGCTGCTGAACGTAGTGGGCAGTTCACCCATATTCCCCACTGCATCACACTCTTCCCTCATGAACCACAGGGAGCTATAGGGCATCAGCTGTTTTACCCAGCAAGTGTGAATCAAAAGCTCTTTGCTATAAGTCACATGCAGCTGAGATGTTTTCTTTTTAATTTAAGGAATCTAAATTTAGTCTGCATGAGGTATAATACAGTGATGTTATTTACAAAATTCTGAATGCCAGGAGTTATTATTCTAATCATCATCGTCGTCATCATGATCATCATGATCATCATCATCATCATCGTATTTACTGTAGCTTTTTAAGAGGAAAGGAGTTTTAAACATCATAAATGCCCCTCACTTCTTGAAAGAGAAAGTAGAAGGAACAATTAGTCTGGTTTTCTCTTCTCTGGTTATTTCTAATTTCTTCTTAGATCACCGTCTACTCTAAATCTCTAATCCAATGAGCCTTTAAATGTATATGGAGTTAAGAGTGTTGCTTTTGGAGAAAACAAAACTGCATTTGAATTCCAGCTCTGCTGCTTACTTCCATGTAAAGCAACCATCTCTGGTGATTATTCTTTGTATAATAATCACTCCTTTCCACCTTTCTGTGCCCCTAGAGCCTGAGCTTCATGGGCTGCCACATCTTGCTAACTTGCTCTCTGGATTGCCATTGGGTACAGCTGATAGGAGCCACTTGATGACACCCAGAGTGTGAAAGAAGCAAGAGGTCAGTTATGTATTCAGTCGGCTCCCGCCCAGCCTCACATCAGTCTGGCAGTAACCAGCTTCCTCTCAGTCAGAACTCCTATCAGTTTGGGTGTCTCCCCTTCTCAGGCTCACAGGGGTCAGATTCCTTTTCCATGCTCTTTTTTGTATGAAATATGATAGCTTCCTGCTGTTGTTCCTGCCTGGGTGTTTGACCATCCTTTGTTAGTTCCCCTAACCCTGACTATACTCTGTAAATACTCCCTTCTTTAGGGACTGACAGATACACTAACAAAAACTTGAGTTTCTCTGTCTATAAATTGGAGACAATGTCTACCTTTTGGTTTGTTGTGATGGTACAATGATATCACATATTTAAATTATCTCACATAGTACCTGGTATACATGAGATAATTTTGGTGGTGGCTATGATGGCAGGACTAGTAATAGTGATAATTGTTATTATCTACCTGTATTAGGAAGACTTTTCTCAGTTTTTGTTGGTATTGTATACATTTCTGAAGCACAGAACTCAGATGAGCAGGAGAAGATTTTAAATGAAAAAGAAGACAGCCCCATTTATAACTGTGCTTATAATGACAGTTTTTGTGGCAGAAACAACAAACACATATCTTTACTTCCAAGGAGGATAGTACTGCGATCTTATGTTCACAACACCACAAAAGTACAATTTTGAGTTCAATGATTGTGTCTATGCTTCTGACTTAACCACCACCCCAAATCTTTTCTTTGGAAACTCTATGCACATATATACTAATATCCTAAAACTGGACTAGTGTGTGGGAAGGTGGACTATTTCTGGAAACTCAAATTGATGCTAGGGCTCTGAGTGCCATTCTGGCTGTCATTATATCACAAGTCCTCAGCCTCAAGGACACAGAGATGATTACTCTCCATCGTAAGAATCCTACACTGAAGGTAGCGCAGCCCATACAATGAACAGCTGAATCACAGCAATATGTTTCTTCTATACTTTACAAACTCTTCAATTTTCATAATTTGAATTGAGAAACTGACAGATTTTCACCAGAATCACTATTAAAATGATGATCTATAATTCAGAGCAGTCAGAATATGCCTAGGTCTGTGAACTTGAGTAGGGGAAGAAATTGCTGAGAATGACAATAAGTTTAAGGTTAATTTTCAAATTGGTATATTTTAGTCAACCAATCATCTAAACTTAGAAAATATTCATATGAAAAGAAAATAATCATTTAATGTCAAATATATCATGAATTTGAATTAGAATGATATAAATAGAAATGGTGTCCTCATGAGGACTGATGTATTGGAAAAGAACAAAATTACAGATACAACATCAATCCAATAGGTAAATGGATTAATAGGTAAGCAAAGTAAATAAGATATTTACATAAACATTGACATATAGAAATAGAGTCGATTATCTTTTGAATCTCATATCTTAATAAACAAAGATAATGGTTCAGTTTCACAGAAAAAGCTACTTGAAAAGAGTAGATTGTAAAATTAGTTTTAAAATTCTTCCTTGGAGTCATGAAAGAAAGGGTGTAGTTCAGAAAAATTAACCTTTCTATATAAACAATCATTTATGGTCACATGAGACAAAAATTTTTCCACAATGATTTTTAAATTTTTCACAGCTTTTGCCATAAACAGAGGAAAAAAAATCTGCTTGAAATATTAGCTCAATATAAAAGCCACATAGCTTCAGCAGCAATATTCATTGAGTGAATTTGCATTTTCTCATCATATGGATGATTTTTCTTTTATTTGTTTGTTTGTTTTTTGCTTCCTCCCAGCCCCCAGAAAACATGCAGAGAAAGTTTAGACTTTTAAAAAAAATCTTCCAGGAAGAAATGTTGTGGATAATGACAAGAGAAGAGGAGCGAAACTAAATACTTGATTGTCCAAGTATCCATAACTTGGGAAGTGACATGCTTAAAAAAAAAAAAAAAAAAAAAAAAAGAAAACAAGAATCAAAGGAATTTAGAATAAGATTCACATAATTTTTCAGAAATGTAATTAAACTGAGTTTTAATATCATTCTAAAATGCACGTATTAGTAAAACAGCTGGGTTTTATTTTGGTGGATGTCTATTTTTGAAATTCTTTGTGTTTAGTAATTTTCACTTTCTAAAAATTAATTCTAAAAACGAGGTATGCAGATAAAGGAGAAATCATGTCATGTGACCAATATATAATATTACTTTTCTGTTTTTTAAAAAAGAATTTTAATGAACAAATGAATTTTGGCTACTCTAAAATAAAGCTGTGCTGAAGAAAAAGTTCTTATAGTTGTAATTATAGTCATAGCTTTCAGAACTAGCTGTGTTTGGTGAGAGGTGAAGCTAAAATGTTTCCCTTGCTTTCACGTTGTTTTCTTGCTACATCTTTAAAAGAACAGTGGAAATGTTCTGTTTCTCACAATGAGTAAAGTGCAACTAGCTTATTTGTGTTTAAATGATTAACTTGAAAAACTGATTCAAGACCTATATATGTGTGCAGTTTATTTTCCAAAGAAATAATTAAGGTTAAGAAGGCTCCCTGAGCTTACTAATTTCTTTTATAGTGGGGTGCAAAGTTATTTGTCCGTGAAATTAAAAAAATGCTTTAGATCATTTTCAATGCACTTACTTCCTTAGCAAATGGGTTAAGCAATGGTATTAGTAATTTCTTCTTCAGGATAGAATTAGATTTTGGATTATAATTAGATTTTAGATTTTCAAATTTTCTACAAAGTTTGAAATACGTTTTCTTGATTCTGTAGGATTTGCAGGAACCACTGACACTGAAGCAAGAAAATGTAATCCTAGAAAAATTGATACAAATTGACACTCTAACTGCTTCATTAATTTGAACTTAGAACTGCAAAATATGTTCATATAAAACTTCTTAACTTTTCTTTTAAAAACAAATGCCAGAAAGCAATACTTTTAAACATCCACTAAATTGAAGTATATTTTGCTCAATATGGAAAAGATATGGTACTTGCAGTTTTAAAGATTATCAAAATCTCTCTGTTTCTTATATAGATGGCATTTAAAAAACTCCAACAAGGGGAAAATGTCGAAACTTTCCTTTTTCTAATCCATTACAATACTGTGTGCTTCTTGGATGAAGTAGGTGTCTGGGGATGGGATTGGATGAGAGAATTTTACTGAATATGCTTATATATCTTTTGAAATTTAAATTATGTGAATATATTATTAAAGAGGTCAAATTAAAATTTAAAAAAGCATTATTCATCTTTATTTTGTGAAAAAAGCAACTATACTCTCAACTTCAAATTAATAGACAAAATTGACTGCTAACTGGAACATTCTAGGGATATTTCTTTGTATTTGGGCATACTGAACTTGATAATGATTAATGCCATGGTGGTGGGATAACAGGTCACTGTCTTTTCTTCTCCCTGATGAGGACAACTGCTAATACAAATAAAAAAAAATTAGACCCAGTCAACTCTTTGAGAAGGAAATAAATTCTATCTTTAAGTGAATTTAAATAACATCAAAGTCTGAGTCACTTTACTGCTAAATTCAAATTTATCTCCTATTAACAAAGCCCATTAGCTACCCTGCTGCTTGTATGTTTTGGACCCTCTATGACTGGAATTCAGAACACAGCCTCATTTGCATATTAGAAGACCCTATCCTTAGTACACAATCACGCCAAATGAAGCTAAACTGAAAAACATCAGCAAGTTGTCAGGAGCAGAGTTTCATACATCACAGAATGATAGGTACTAAAATAGTGCTTTTATTTTTTTGGCTAAGCATAATGGCTCATGTTTGTAATCCCAGAACTTTGGGAGGCAGAGGAGGAAGGATCGTTCAAGGCTGAGAGTTCAAGACCAGCTGGGCAATATAGAGAAACCTATGCTCTACAAAAAAATAAAATAATAAATAAATAAATACAGTGCTTTTTGTAGGAAACAAAATATTTTCTGTATTTTATTTAATTAGTCTTTGCAACATGATTGTGTAGAGGTAGGAGAATGTCTTCTTTACAGAAAAGGAGAATAAACAAAGCTAAGTGTAGGAGGAGGAATTTACCAGAAAAAAAAATTCCTTCTGCTCTATGTCTCTGGATGATTTTATTAGCATGATGCAACCTTTACTTGGAGTTGCAAATAGAGTGCTGTGAAGATGGGTGTAAAGGCTTGTCAAGGAGAATGATGATGGAGCTGTCCTGTGATTGACAAGTGTAGTGCTGTCTCATTTTTCTACACTTTTTTTTTTTTTTTTTTTGAGACAGAGTTTCGCTCTAGTTGCCTAGGCTGGAATGCAGTGGCATGGTCTCAGCCTCACTGTAACCTCCACCTTCTGGGTTCAAGCGACTCTCCTGCCTCAGCCTCCTGAGTCGCTGGAATTATAGGTGCCTGTCACCATGCCCGGCTAATTTTTGTATTTTTAATAGAGACGAGGTTTTGCCATTTTGGCTAGGCTGGTCTCCAGCTCCTGACCTTAGGTGATTCTCCCACCTCAGCCTCCCAAAGTGCTGGGATTACAGGCATGAGGCACCACACCCAGCCCATCTTTCTACACTTAAAAAATATGTTTTCCACTTTTGGCTATACTCCTCATCTCAGTGCTCACCTTAGGCAAAGTGCTTTTGAGGTTTTTTTTTTTCTTTTTCTTGTTAAATGCTGACATTATTTATTTTTCTTTGTATCTATTGTTCTCTCAATGTGTTCTGCAGAACTTTGCAAGTATTTGAGACCCTTTCAAGTATTCTAAGGGCTTAGAACTAGCTTAATAATAAGAAGACATTATTTACCTTTTATACTGTGTTGACATTTGTACTGATGGTGCAAAAGTAATGGTGAATAAAAATGCTGACACCATAGCAGTAGTACCCAACTATACCAGTAATCATTGTATTCTTCTTTGCTATGCATTTGCAAGAAAAACAAGAAAAACAAAATCTAGTCACACATAAGAAAATCCTTGGTGAAGCAGTACAAATTGTTAATGTTATTAAATATCTACCTTTAATTTTGCTAAGTCTCACATAGTCTGTGTGGCTAAGTGGGGAGTATACAAATAATAATTCTGCTACAAACCAAAGTACTGTGGTTGTCCCCAGGAAAAGCACTTGTGTAATTGAATTGTGAACTCATTACTTTCCTCTTAGACCACCATTTTTATTTGAAAGAACAATTGACAAACTGTGATTATTCAGATTTAGGTATTTGCAGGTATTTTCTTAAAGAAGAATAAAATAAAACTGCAATTTTAAGGAAAATAACTGACTATATTTTTTACCAATGATGGCATCTGATATTTCAAGTGAAAATTAGAATTTTGGAAACTTGTGACAACTGATGTTATCTTGACAGCCTCCCAATCCATAAAGCCTTTTCTGATCAGATAGGTGCAGGTGGTAACATTAACTAACAAATGCAGTGATATTGTAAAATGAGATGTGTCAAAATATGGAATATCTGCATAACTCAATCAATATTTTCCAAATGATTAATAAATGATGTTACATATTCATGAATAGGTAAAAGATCCTTTCAAAGTCCAAGATAGATCAGTGGATTTTAACGTGACAGATTGTAAAAAGTTAATTGACATGGTTTCCGATTCCAAATCACTGATTAAATTTTGCTATGTTATCAAGAATATCCATAATTATCTGAAAAATTAATTATCTGAAAAATCTACTGACCCAGGATTTTTGGTGCCACTTTGCCAGCTGCAGAACTCCGTGGCTGGTGAAGCCCTTGCCCACGCCCTGTTTGGCTTTGGGCTCACTACTGGTGGTGCCCCACCCTCTTGGCTCAGCAGTCTGTGCCTGGCTTGCACTCTGTCCCAGATCCCATGCTCACTTCAGAATCTGCACTCAGTCTGTGGCTGGGCCAGGTGTGCTTCAGCCTTTTTGTGTTACAGCTTGTTCAGTCCTGCCACCCCACTCTGACCCATGGCTCCTGGGCTGACCCAGCCCTGCCATTGCTTCCTGTCGCATAAGGTGGGCACACAGCAATGTTACAGCCTTTATTCGTTCCCACATTTAGTGGGTCCTGGGTTCTTATCCTGTGTCCAAGAAGAATGAGGTTACACTGACAACTGGAGGGTGAGCAGGGAAGAGAAGAGATTTTTTGAGCAATGAAACAGCTCTCAGTGAAGAAGGGGCCCCAAGTTAGGAAGCCCCCTTACCTGAAGTTGGGTAGTCTCTGCTCCCAACACCAAGGATGGGTAATCCTAAAGTGTGGCTGAGTCCAGGGATTTTATGGGCTTAGAATGGGGGAGTTCATGCTAATTGGTTTGTGAGTATGCAAAAATGTCTAAAAAATGGCACCACATAAAGATGGGCATGACAGTGTAAAATACAAATTAGGGAAGGGTAGGTATACGAAAAAGTAGGTGAAGAGTAGGGATCAATGAGAGGCAAGTGCATCAGACAGGAAGAGAGGTTTTCAGTCTGGTCTGTGGATTTGTTCATGATTCATAGCTTGGTTTTCTTGCTTAAAACTGTCTTTGGTTTGAAGGTTAGGCTTCACTGGGGACCCGTCCCCTATCTGCCTAGGCATTTGACTGCCTCCTGCCACTATCACTACTAAAGTGCTCCTCCCTTTCCCGGCTACATTTGTATGAGGCTGGATTGCCTTTATATAGAACAAGTAAAACAACATTTCACCATGAAATGACTGCAAAAGCAGATAAGAGCCTCGGGCTCTTTTCTATTAATACTGACATTAAAGAATATGTATAAAAATGCTTTTCTTACTACATTTTTAGAAAGTATGTTTTAAATATTTAATCTTTCATATTAATATATGTATTAATATATGATAGTCATTTTAAATTTTACATAATGAAAATCTTTTTAGTTTTAATCTCTAAAATGATAAACATCAATATATATAAGCCACATAATCAAAGTTATTTGTCATCCTCAGTACTTTTTATGCATCTAAAGAGGTCTTGAAACCAAAAAGTTTGAGAACTGCTGTTGTGCAAAAACTGCAATTTACTATAGTGACGAGATTAATTACACTATTTATTTGAAAATATCTGTCAAATTGAGATTATCCTGATAATAAGTAAATTACTATACTTATTGGTCATTAACTGATAATGACCAAAACATCTCAAAATTGTTTGCTTAAATTTAATGGAATGATATATTGCTAATTTCTTTGAAAAGTTAGACAAGATAGGTCTAATAATAATCCAAGTACATTAAATATGACTACCTTCCAAGATATCCTGATTGATTTAACACTCTTTAGGGGTGTTATTTACAGTGTTACATTACTATGCTTTGTTATTTTTTTTTCTTCAGAGTTAGATGAAAATGCAATAGCTAATTTGCATGTTTGCAGATATTTACAGAGCATGCTTTAAAACCTTAAAGTCCAGTTTGCAAACTAAGAGAAAAAATTAATGAATTAGTATAATTCATTATTGTACTAATTCATAATACTACATAATTCATAATACAGTGATATTCATGGTCAATATTCTGGTACAAAATATTTCTTTTAAAATTAACTGATGTGACACATTTGAAATTGTGAGTACTAGACATGTATACAGAAGGAGAGTGTAAAAAGTAGGTAAAGAGCTCAGATTAAAATATAGATGACCTTGCAAAGAGTGATGGTGGAGGTAGTACGTAAACAAACGGAATGTAAAGGGAAAAAAGATATTCTTTATCTGTCCTAGCTCTGCTGTTACACAATGTATATTGTGAACATTGACAACCCTAAGCAATGTGTCTGTGTTCTGTATATTTGTATATACATATGTATGTGCATTCTCTATACTTATATATAAAGACAAATATATATGTGGCATTCTCTATACATATATATAAATATATATTTATATTCCATATACTCTGTATTGCATTTTATATTTCACTTAACAAATACTTTAAGATTTTTCATGGTGACATTGGTAACTTTGGCAGTGTTTACATCTCTGTAATACAATTTAAGTTCATGCAATTATTTTAAATTTATAGTATATTTTGCTCTTATTATTTTATTAAAATAAATGAAAACCTTTAAAATGTTTTTATTAGTGGAAATACAATTGAGACTATGGTACAAATCATTCCTCATGCCATAATCAATGGATAGCCTCAATTAGGAATTCAGTTGATTTAAGCTGGTTGATTCATATTAGTTGTGAAGAAAGAAGGAAAAAAGCAAGTGTTTAAAATGCTATGATATGTATACAGACATATATATACAAATACACATACATGCACAGTGTATGTTTAATCGATGATGAGATAGAATGGATTAATAATTAACCAGGAAATAAGCAGTGAACCAGATTGACAGATCTATGGAGGTGTTTGTAGGGATGCAGCTTCACTACAGGTTTATTTTGAGGAGAAGGGTACTCTTCAATTTCTGGGGGGCCTGGTAGGGAAGCAAAACTTGTAAGAATATTTTAAACATTTTACCTCCCCTCCTAGTCCATTCTCCAGATAACTGCCAGTGATCTTTGAAACTGTAAAGTGGATCAAAATGGACTTTTCTACTACTGCAATTGTACTCAGGTTAAAATTCAAAATCTATGTTGTGGTAAACAAAGGAAATAGCCTGTTTCCTTCCAACTACTCTGGCCTCACCTAGAATTATCTTCCCTCATTCACAATATACCTTCACAGAGGGACTGTCTCAGTTCTCTGAATAGGGCATGATTTTGTTTGTTTGTTTGTTTTAATCTCAAAGCATTTACTCAAGCCAGTGCTTCTGTTGGAATCTCTCTCCTCATCTGGTTAATTTTGACTGATTGATAAATGTTTCAAACTCCCTTTCTCCTATACCAACACTGCCCCTCCCAGCCTAAACTATTTCCTTTTACATTGTGCTTCCTTAACTACCTGTAATTTTCCTTTACAGTACTTGTTGTACAATGCCAGTATATATATTATTTACATATAAAAGTATTGTTTAATATCTTTCTTCACTTTGGTGAATGTTTAAATTTTATTTATCCTCAAGATCTAGAAACTTTCACATAGGTATCTCAATCATTTGTTGAATGAATACAAAAGTGAAAGTATTATAATCTATACTTAATTTCTTGCTCAACAATCTGAAAAATGTCCTATTTAATGCCGTGTATAATTACCATTGTTCCTTTTTCCCAAGCCTGTCATGTTTGTTTTATTATATTTATTGAAATGTAATCTGTCATCTTTTGAGTTCAGTAATAAAAACATTGTCTTTGTGTTTTGCATGTCTTTTTAAAAAACAGTCTTATTTAGATATAACATATAAATTGTACCCACTTAAAGTGTATTAATTACTAGTTTTTAGCATATTTACAGATTTCTACAGCCATCGCCACAATCTAATTTTGCAACATTTTTATCACCCTGAAAATAAACCCAGTACCCATTAGCAGCTACTGTCCAGTCTGCCTCTAGTCATAGACAACCCACTAAGCTCCATTCTGTCTCTGTTTATCCCAGACATTTCATGTGATTGAAAACATACAACATGTGATATTTTGTGATTGGCTTCTGTTTTCTTAAATTCATTTTTCTAGTCATTCATACTCATTCACTTTTACAAACGTGTCAATCTATGATTAATTGTAAATTTTAAAAAGGGCCCTTATCTACAGATAGTTTGAGAAGCCCTATTTGATAAACATTTATACATTGTTAATGTGGTTGCCAAACAAATGGACATTTAGGTAATAATTAGAAGTTCTAAATGTGTTTAGGTATGTGATTAAAAACAATCTTACCACTTGTGTACAATGACATTTCAGAAATCCATGGTAGAGGAAAGTAGAATGTCTCTGAAGTGGTTGCAGTCGAGGTGAGAGAATGACACTTAAGGTAGCGTCTTTAAGATTTTCCCCCTCACTCTAGCTCTCATAACTAAAATGCTTATCACTGGCAAGTCATTCTAATTAAAAAGCATGTACTGAAACAATCCACTTTTTAAAATTTTATGTCTGCATGACAAAGTTTACTTTTCTTAAACGTATACATATATTTGTGTATATGCATTTGTACATAATTTATCAACTTTTTTCCCAAAATATTTGAAGGCTGAGTCTTCACCTAGCAGGTGCTGGATTCAAAATCAGTGGTAGTAGCTTCCTAGAAGATATATTTGAATAAAACATGCACATCAATGATGATTTTTCCTAGAAAATGTGAGGAAGACTGATTTAGCATCAAAGACTTATCCTTGTTTAATGTATATCGAAATGCTTATGCTAACACAAAGAAGACAGGATAGAAATGGTCAATTCACAGAATCCAAAAATTGCTGGGTTCTTATTTCAGTTTATTTTTGTTTTAAATACTACTGATTTAACCAAAATAAAATAGGCAGGGGAAAATGTAGCTTAATATTTTCTACCTATACTACATCTAACTAGTACTGTGTTTACTATGTGACAAAGACCATCCTATCTTAAATACACTAAATATTTTCATTCTTACAACAGCCTCATTTCTATCATTCCAACTTAAAATGGCAAGTGGTAGAGTGAGCTTTAGAACACATAGATACTGGTTCCAAACTTTATTTTCTAATTATCATAATCATAACCAAATTTTTGTTAATACCAGCTTTTACACAAACACACACACACAGAGACTCACATACACATATGTCGTGCTTACTGTCAAAATTAAAAAAAACAACTGGCACAACTTAATCTCTTACCCTTCATTAGGATAAAACTCTCTCAGGATTTGAATGTTCTTTCTAAGGTTATGGACAACAATGAATATTAATTAGTATTCTTCCTGGAGCCAGCTGCTTAATTCTTAGCCTTCTTTTTTTGTTTCAAAACATAACCAAATGAATGATTGAAATCTCTGCTTATCTTCCAAACAGTAAAGATGTGCACTGCCACAGGACCACTCTGTGGGCTGCAAGAATAATGATCTTATTGCATCCCAGGTATCATTAGATGCAGAGCTCTCTCCTTAAGGTTTTCAACCCCAAGCTGATAACATACGCAATGGGACTGACTTTCTTCTGGCTTACTAACCCCTAAGACCAGCTTATTATAAATGGGGCGTAACACTTATTGGTCCAACTGCTTTATTTTACATGATGAGACAAATTTTAATAAGTGTAGGTATTACAACAATCCGGTGATTGGGTCAGCAGTTGCAGACCACTGCAAGGTTATTGCTTTTCTTTTTTCCCCATTACAACATCTGTCATGAATAAACCAACTTGATATTTGTGTTTTTTCCTCCTCTATCTAAGCAATATAATAAACACAGATAGTACTTGTAGGATATTTCCTATATATTTCTGTTGAAACAAATGGGTTGTGAGAGGTTCATCCAAAAAATTGCCTCAACTATATCCACAATGCCTCTGGAAAATAAACTATACAACCAAACTTTGTCAATTAAATTTATCTTTTTATTGGAAGATTCTCATCATGACAGATTCTTATCAATTATCTGTGGAACTAAAATAAGTATGCAATTTTAGGTCTTGAACAAATGTTACAAAAGTGTCATAATTTCTGCCTCACTAAAATTATTCTTTGGATCATATTATTTCTGTACTACAAGTCAGGCCTGTTAAACTGATGTTGACTATTTTTAAATTAAAATCAAACCAAACCAAATTCCAGCAAGAATATCCATCAAGACAAAAATTCTTATTTTTTTCTCTATGAAAAATCTGACTCAAATTATCTCCATATTTTAAATATGAAACATTTTTTCTGAGATATTCAGCAACTTAAAAGTGCTACTAGCACCTTAATATCTGCTTCATAAATACCAATCACTACCTACTAAGGAAAAAAAAGGAGAAAGGATCAAATTCATAAGTATGCCTCAAGTCACAAGAAAACAAAGGGACTCTTTCCTGGCTTTTTCATGAACTTCAAAACCTTGAATCTACTGGGCATATGCAGAAATCCATAAAAACTTCAGCATTAGCTATTTTTATTGATGATTTGCTTTGATCACGCTAATTAACTTGTTTGTTTCAGGGTAAGCTTTACATAAATATTAAATATAAATTATTGGAACATAAAGTTTTCTTTTCTATATTTTGAAACATTTAGTTACTACCAATGAGTGGGCTGAATAAATACCCCCATTATTATTTATTTTGGTGATTATATATCTTAATTATTTTCAAGAATTTTCAGTTTTTGACAATACATGTTTCTTAAGTTTATTAAGACTATACAGTACTGGTAATGGTAGCTTCTGTCAGAATAAGCATAATGCACCAATTATGTATGGTATATTGGTTTTGGCACAAAACTAGCACATTCACAGTATATTCATACATAGATAATAAAATTGTTTGTTCAATACAACAATATCATAACATGACTAGAATGTACATATATTAAAGGAATATACTGCTCATTAAACAGAAAAGGGATATTTCTTATTAAGCATAGAACAAATATCCATATCCCATTAAATATTTAGTTTCATGATATTCTTTTGTCATTATAGTTATGGCTTTGTTCATTCGTATTTATCTACCAGAATACTTTACAAGAGAGATGAAACCATACATTTAGTTCAGCTATAAATACAAAGACAGTGGCTCAAAAAGAAATTCTATGTAAGTTACATCCATAAACTTTTGAATAACCAGAATGTTCAGTCTATGTCTATCTATCAACCTATTTATCTATCTACCTACCTATCTACCTACCTATCTACCTATCTACCTACCTATTTACCTATCTACCTATCATCTGTCTGTATCTATCTATATTATCTGTTTATCTACCTGCCTATCTACCTACATATCTACCTATCTACCTACCTATCATATCTCTATATCTGTCTATATTATCTGTCTATATCTGTCTATATTATTGACAGATAATAACTGGCAACAAAGCAAACATCCATCCACAGCAGAGTGAATAAATAAACTGTGTTGTATTCATGCACTGCTACACTGTGCAGCTAAGAAAATGAATGAAATATTGAGAGTTTTTAGCATGAAGTGTTGTTGAATTTTGTCAAAGAGCTTTTCTGCATCTATTGAGATAATCATGTGGTTTTTGTCTTTGGTTCTGTTTATATGCTGGATTACATTTATTGATTTGCGTATGTGGAACCAGCCTTGCATCCCAGGGATGAAGCATACTTGATCATGGTGGATAAGCTTTTTGATGTGCTGCTGGATTTGGTTTGCCAGTATTTTATTGAGGATTTTTGCATCAATGTTAATCAAGGATATTGGTCTAAAATTCTCTTTTTTGGTTGTGTCTCTGCCAGGCTTTGGTATCAGGATGATGCTGGCCTCATAAAATGAGTTAGGGAGGATTCCCTCTGTTTCTATTGATTGGAATAGTTTCAGAAGGAATGGTACCAGCTCCTCCTTGTACCTCTGGTAGAATTCGGCTGTGAATCCATCTGGTCCTGGACTCTTTTTGGTTGGTAAGCTATTGATTATTGCCACAATTTCAGCTCCTGTTATTGGTCTATTCAGAGATTCAACTTCTTCCTGGTTTAGTCTTGGGAGAGTGTATGTGTCAAGGAATTTATCCATTTCTTCTAGATTTTCTAGTTTATTTGCATAGAGGTGTTTGTAGTAATCTCTGATGGTAGTTTGTATTTCTGTGGGATCGGTGGTGATATCCCCTTTATCATTTTCTATTGCGTCTATTTGATTCTTCTCTCTTTTTTTCTTTATTAATCTTGCTAGTGGTCTATCAATTTTGTTGATCCTTTCAAAAAACCAGCTCCTGGATTCATTAATTTTTTGAAGGGTTTTTTGTGTCTCTATTTCCTTCAGTTCTGCTCTGATTTTAGTTATTTCTTGCCTTCTGCTAGAGTTTGAATGTGTTTGCTCTTGCTTTTCTAGTTCTTTTAATTGTGATGTTAGGGTGTCAATTTTGGATCTTTCCTGCTTTCTCTTGTGGTCATTTAGTGCTATAAATTTCCCTCTACACACTGCTCTGAATGTGTCCCAGATATTCTGGTATGTTGTGTCTTTGTTCTCGTTGGTTTCAAAGAACATCTTTATTTCTGCCTTCATTTCGTTATGTACCCAGTAGTCATTCAGGAGCAGGTTGTTCAGTTTCCATGTAGTTGAGCGGTTTTGAGTGAGATTCTTAATCCTGAGTTCTAGTTTGATTGCACTGTGGTCTGAGAGATAGTTTGTTATAATTTCTGTTCTTTTACATTTGCTGAGGAGAGCTTTACTTCCAAGTATGTGATCAATTTTGGAATAGGTGTGGTGTGGTGCTGAAAAAAATGTATATTCTGTTGATCTGGGGTGGAGAGTTCTGTAGATGTCTATTAGGTCTGCTTGGTGCAGAGCTGAGTTCAATTCCTGGATATCCTTTCTAACTTTCTGTCTCGTTGATCTGTCTAATGTTGACCATGAGGTGTTAAAGTCTCCCATTATTAATGTATGGGAGTCTAAGTCTCTTTGTAGGTCACTCAGGACTTGCTTTATGAATCTGGGTGCTCCTGTATTGGGTGCATATATATTTAGGATAGTTAGCTCTTCTTGTTGAATTGATCCCTTTACCATTATGTAATGGCCTTCTTTGTCTCTTTTGATCTTTGTTGGTTTAAAGTCTGTTTTATCAGAGACTAGGATTGCAACACCTGCTTTTTTTTGTTTTCCATTTGCTTGGTAGATCTTCCTCCATCCTTTTATTTTGAGCCTATGTGTGTCTCTGCATGTGAGATGGGTTTCCTGAATACAGCTCGCTGATGGGTCTTGACTCTTTATCCAATTTGCCAGTCTGTGTCTTTTAATTGGAGAATTTAGTCCATTTACATTTAAAGTTAATATTGTTATGTGAGAATTTGATCCTGTCATTATGATGTTAGCTGGTTATTTTGCTTGTTAGTTGATGCAGTTTCTTCCTAGTTTCGATGGTCTTTACATTTTGGCATGATTTTGCAGCGGCTGGTACCAGTTGTTCCTTTCCATGTTTAGCGCTTCCTTCAGGAGCTCTTTAAGTCAGGCCTGGTGGTGACAAAATCTCTCAGCATTTGCTTGTCTGTAAAGTATTTTATTTCTCCTTCACTTATGAAGCTTAGTTTGGCTGGATATGCAATTCTGGGTTGAAAATTCTTTTCTTTAAGAATGTTGAATATTGACCCCCACTCTCTTCTGGCTTGTAGAGTTTCTGCCGAGAGATCCGCTGTTAGTCTGATGGGCTTCCCTTTGTGGGTAACCCGACCTTTCTCTCTGGCTGCCCTTAACATTTTTTCCTTCATTTCAACTTTGGTGAATCTGACAATCATGTGTCTTGGAGTTGCTCTTCTCGAGGCGTATCTTTGTGGCGTTCTCTGTATTTCCTGAATTTGAATGTTGGCCTGCCTTGCTAGATTGGGGAAGTTCTCCTGGTTAATATCTTGCAGAGTGTTTTCCAACTTGGTTCCATTCTCCCCGTCACTTTCAGGTACACCAATCAGACGTAGATTTGGTCTTTTCACATAGTCCCATATTTCTTGGAGGTTTTGTTCATTTCTTTTTATTCTTTTTTCTCTAAACTTCCCTTCTCACTTCATTTCATTCATTTCATCTTCCATCACTGATACCCTTTCTTCCAGTTGATCGCATTGGCTCCTGAGGCTTCTGCATTCTTCATGTAGTTCTCGAGCCTTGGCTTTCAGCTCCATCAGCTCCTTTAAGCACTTCTCTGTATTGGTTATTCTAGTTATACATTCATCTAAATTTTTTTCAAAGTTTTTAGCTTCTTTGCCTTTGGTTTGAATTTCCTCCTGTAGCTCGTAGTTTGATTGTCTGAAGACTTCTTCTGTCAACTTGTCAAAGTCATTCTCCATCCAGCTTTGTTCCATTGCTAGTGAGGAACTGCGTTCCTTTGGAGGAGGAGAGGTGCTCTGCTTTTTAGAGTTTCCAGTTTTTTTGCTCTGTTTTTTCCCCATCTTTGTGGTTTTATCTACTTTTGGTCTTTGATGATGGTGATGTACAGATGAGTTTTTGGTGTGTATGTCCTTTCTGTTTGTTAGTTTTCCTTCTAACAGACAGGACCCTCAGCTGCAGGTCTGTTGGAGTTTGCTAGAGGTCCACTCCAGACCCTGTTTGCCTGGGTATCAGCAGTGGTATTTGCAGAACAGCGGTTTTTTGTGAACCGCGAATGCTGCTGTCTGATCGTTCCTCTGGAAGTTTTGTCTCAGAGAAGTACCCGGCCATGTGAAGTGTCAGTCTGCCCCTACTGGGGGGTGCCTCCCAGTTAGGCTGCTCAGGGGTCAGGGGTCAGGGACCCATTTGAGGAGGCAGTCTGCCTGTTCTCAGATCTCCAGCCACGTGCTGGGAGAACCACTGCTCTCCTCAAAGCTGTCGGACAGGGACATTTAAGTCTGCAGAGGTTACTGCTGTCTTTTTGTTTGTCTGTGCCCTGCCCCCAGAGGTGGAGCCTACAGAGGCAGGCAGGCCTCCTTGAGCTGTGGTGGCCTCCACCCAGTTCGAGCTTCCTGGCTGCTTTGTTTACCTAAGCAAGCCTGGGCAATGGCAGGCGCCCCTCCCCCAGCCTCGCTGCCGCCTTGCAGTTTGATCTCACACTGCTGTGCTAGCAATCAGTGAGACTCCGTGGGCATAGGACCCTCCGAGCAAGTGTGGGATATAATCTCCTGGTGTGCTGTTTTTTAAGCCTGTCGGAAAAGCGCAGTATTCAGGTGGGAGTGACCCGATTTTCCAGGTGCCGTCTGTCACCACTTTCTTTGACTCGGAAAGGGAACTCCCTGACCCCTTGCACTTCCCGAGTGAGGCAATGCTTCACCCTGCTTTGGCTCGTGCACAGTGCGCTGCACCCACTGACCTGTGCCCACTGTCTGGCACTCCCTAGTGAGATGAACCCGGTACCTCAGATGGAAATGCAGAAATCACCGGTCTTCTGCATCGCTCACGCTGGGAGCTGTAGACCGGAGCTGTTCCTATTTGGCCATCTTGGCTCCTCCTCTTATACTTTTTCTTTAATTTCTTATAAGACTGTTTTACTTGTGTTCCCATACCATGTATTGACATACTTTTAAAAACAATTCCTCCTTGCTCTTCTTATTTTGTTTAAGTGGGAAAATTTCTTATATGTGAGTAAATGGAAATTGAGTTAACCTGTGACCTGCCAAGGTCAGTTTTAAACATCATTACTCACTAAGTTGCACACATCAAAAAATGGTTAAGTGTTTCATAAAAGGGACAATGGCATAAAAATGGGCTGAATAACAAAGTTGAGATTTATTCATTTTCTCTTCTAGCTCTACATTTTAATTTCTGGACAAACACTGGCTATGGTATAAAGTTTAGAAGCACATGTGTCCAGCAAATCAACTAAGAAACTAAATCTCATTTACCAAAACTAGAAACATTAGCATCTCCTTATTCTTTATGTTTTTGTTAGAAATAAAGAATGTAGGTAATTGGGGAAGGGGGATAAATCAGTTATTTTATGGTTGTCATCTACTCTTTCTATTCAAGAAAGCATAATTTCCTCCTGGAAGGAAACAGATTTTATGCCTCAGGCTGGACATAAATCAAACAGAAATGCTATAGCATAGACAGTAATTTTATAAACTATCATGTTGTGGAAAATAGAGTTAAGCTGTCATCTATGATGTAGTTACCATCCCGCTAAGGGATAATTGAGTAATGGGCAGGCAGCTCTAAAGAGCTTTTGGTGTTGTGATCTTTTGACACATCCAGAGAATGACTAGGCTCTTTTAGGTAAATGATTTGAGGAAGTTTTCATAGTGGCTTTTATACTACAAATGTTGTTTAGCCAAGCCATGTATAGCTGTTTCTCAACATGAATAGATTTTTAAGCTATTTTCTTTAAATAGCGTTTTCTCCCAAAGAGTTTATCTTAAAAATATAATAGCAATTACATTAACAGTTCTGAAAACTATGAGTCATTCCTTAAAAACGGTTTACATTAAAAAGAAGAAAATTTTCATTACAAATTTTTAGAACTAGAATAAATTCTATTGAAGTAGAATACATATGTATAATTTGATAGGGTTTCTGAAATCACATAAATCTGAAAGGACATTATGAATCAGCTCTAGGAAAACTGATCAGTTGGGACAAACATTGGGATATTAAATCGTGATTTTTAGCATTTATCTTGCATTTTTAATATGAATCATCACCTCTCAACTGCCCAGTATGCTCATGGCTTATAGTTTTAGCTTTTTGGCTTGTTCCCTGCTTCCTGCCTTCTGGGTACTTCACCAAGTCATCAGGCATCTCCATCACAGCTAGTCAGAAGGGGGTAAAAATGGTGAGACTTTCAAGTCAGTCAATTTCATTCTTCATTCCTAGTACTTTTTTATTTTTTTAACAGACCAATGGAGGATAGTTTGAAATAATTTTCTAACTCAAATATCACATTAACTTCATATATCTCTTATTCATATTGGGTCACTTTAAATTATAAATATTATTCACTTTTGACAACTTGAACACAGAATGTAGTTTTAAAGGCATATTTTTGTGTTCAAAGTACACTACATTTTAGGGAAGGCTTGGCAAATTCTTGCCTGGTTACACTGTCATATTCTGTCAGATACTTTAATTGTAAAGTTAATGTATGTTTATTTTAATGAACTGAATCATAATGAGGGATATTAATTTTCTCCCTATTCATTGGAATGACTAATTTTGTTCTCTAGAAGAAATTAAAGTGAACTCACATTGGTGTGCATTCTTCCAGAATGTTTATTTTCTTTTTTTTCTTTCATAAATGAGAGCTACTCTGTATTTTGTTTGAAACTTGATTAATTTTTTAGCTAAATAACAAAAATGAGTATTTTTTCCATTTAGAGTAATATAGATCAACCTCTTTAATTTAAACCACTAAATATTATTGTAATGTTTGTATATACAAAAATTCATTTATCCAGTCTCAAATAAAAGGGCATTTAGGCCACAGAAATTTTTCATGCTTATAAACCATGCCAAGATAATGCCTGTATCTACCTAACTCTATATCTATCTATGTAGCTAGCTAGCTACTGCGTGAGTGCATCTGTTGGATAAATTTCTAGAAGTAAAAATATTGAATGAAAAGTTATGAAAAATTTAAAATTTTTATGATATTGGCAAGTTGTTCTTTAAATACTTCAATTTACTTTTCAAATGTTACAAAATTTCTGCTATATTTCCCAAACAAAACATGACAAAAATAAAAGTTGGAATGTTATAAATATGGTAAATGAATGCAAAAATGAATGTTTAAGAAAAGAATTTTTTATTTGTATCAATTCAACACATCAGAATAAAAGCATTTTGGCACTAACAAAAGTTTTTCATATATACACTCAAATGCCTCTATCTGTACTTTGTATGTATATGTGTGTGTGTGTGTGTGTGTGTGTGCAGCACTACTGGTGATGAATGAGGTTCTAATATCTCAAAGTTCCACAACTTATTTGACTCAACTGATATATAAAAATAAATTACAATTTAATGAGATTTACTGAACAGTGTCAAGTCTGTTGAAATGGACAACGACATACTTTGAAAATAATTGTGAATGATGATAAGATCATGTATATTTAATACATTGGATAAAAAATAATAATCCTAAGTTCCGAATGTTGTAATTTAATATTATCAATAGTAATAATTCATTTACCCCAGTATTCATTTATTCAAACATCCATTAAGTATCAGTTTCATGTGTGATAAATTATGTAAAACAACTCATATCATACTTATATTCAAGGAGAGCACAGTACAGTGAAAAAGCATATGAATGTCTAAACTACAACAGATTTTATAACAGCAATCATTAAAGTATGACAGCAGAGACTTAGGGGCCAAAAAGAGAAGAAAGCCAATGACTAATGTGTTTTGGTTAATAAAGTAACAATATTGATTTTCAACATTCCAGATCCTGAAAATAATAGTCATGCACACACATACACACATGTCTGTATCATCTATCTATATCTATATTGTATCTATCTATCTATCCATCTATCTATCTATCTATCCATCATGGCTTTCTTTATCACAAGTTTGTGAATCACCTCTAAACCTTTTATAGCTTTTTTGTTATCTCTAACATCTTCTAATCTTATTGTTCCAGTTCTTCCTTGTCCCTCCATGGAGAGCATCCTTGGCTGTCTGCTGTACTGATTGCAGATTGTCTCAAAAATCTCCTACACAAGGCAGTATTATCCATTTGAAAATCAGTGTTCTAAACAGGGATTTCTATTTATTCTAGTTATAATAATCATGTTATTCAATTTAATTCTTTTTAGTTTTACCTACAATATTACCATCAATGATGAAATTGTGAGAAGAGTAAAGTATAAGAAATGGTATCACCATTTAAAAAGTACCAATGGCTAATATCTCTCTTTGTATATTTATTTGTTTTTAAAGAAACAGCATGGAAATAATTTTATTTTATTGTGGATTAATATTGGAGGAAAATCTGACTCTGATACAGCAGTATCTAAGCATAACATTAAAAGAAAATATTATTTATGTACATATTCTTGTGTACAATATTATTTATATCTTGTTAGTGCTAATATCTTATCTTATTTTTCATTATACTACTTCAATTTTTTTACTTTCTGAACTCAGTCACCGTATGTTTCATCAACACCAGGCTGCATTCCCTTTAATGAACATATCTTTCTGAAGGCTGTATTTTTCCTACTACTTCAAAGGCACATCCCCATGTCTATATTCTGTGGTTCTACCATCTACAAGGGCTAGAACTAGGGTCACTTCCATTATAAACTAAAGCCAGTCAGTCAACTCTATGTTACTTGGCACTTGTTCATGACTCTATACGGTGTTCATCAGAGTATGATATTTTATTTTTTGTAACAAACAAGTGTCCCTTAAGTTCAAGTTCTTGAAAGTTGCTATTACATATCATTTATTTTTAAATCTCCCTTAATATTTATAGGTAACAGTAATACTGATTTAAAATAACCATATAATAAAAATTGTACTCACAAGTTTTTAAAATGTGTTGTAAAAACTAGCTCAACAAAGCATTTGGTCCATAAAGACTTGCGTTGATGGCTTTTCAGTTTCCCAGAAGGAACTTAGAATGCAGTAGGCATTAAAGAAATAATTTTTCTATTGATCGTCATCATCTAATGTGGCCTCTAATGCAGTGCTTCTTAACCTTACCATTCCCAGTCCTCTCTTTTAAATCATGAAATAGAATGCATAGATAATATAACCAATCCACACAAATAACAGTCACTCAAAAATCAATACAATGCTGACTATGATATAAAGAAGAAGGCTTTTAATACATAAATGTTCAGGTATAACTATACTAGAAAATTTCAGTACAAAATTTTCAGGTATAACTACACTAGAAAATAAAATAGTTGAGTGTTTGCATTTGTATAAAAGAATGCAACAGCTACAAATACACACTGGTAGAGTTTTTTTGGAAGCTAAAATATCATGAGCAATATTGCTATGGGAAGCATGAGAAAAAGAAGTGCAAAAGAATTCTTGATAAAGTGCTGAGTTACTTCCAAAAAGTACAATTTCTTGATTTACACAGCATTTAGACTTCCCTCTTAAAATGTGTTTGCAAATCCTTTGTGTTTATATGCAAACTAGAGTTAGATTATAGACTAAAACCGTTATATTTTTTACACATGCAAAAATTGTTCAGTGGCCATTTATAAGTCATATGGGATAGAGGACCATTTTTCCTTGTCCCTCCATGGCGAGCATCCTTGGCTCTCTGCCTTACTGAGTGCATATTGTTCCAACAATATCCTGCACAAATTTCTGAAACACCCCAATAGGGCGGTATTATCTGTTTTGAAAAGCAATGTTCTAAACAGAGATTTCTACTTAGTTATCAAAATCATGTTATTAATTTTCTTGTAGTTTTAACTACAATATTAGCATCAATGATGAAACTGTGAGAATAGTAGCATATAAGAAATGGTATCACCATTTAAAAATAACAGTGGCTAGTATCTGCCTTGTATATTTATTTGTTTTTGAAGAAATAGGATTGACAATTATTTAATTTTAGTGTGGATTAATATTGAAGGAAAACCTGACTCTGTTACAGCAGTATCTAAGCACTGCATTAAAAGAAAACATTATTTATGCACAAGAGTTCCCTTAAATTAATATGTCAAAAGTTAACCCCAGATGTGATGTATTTAGAGGTGGGGCTTTTGGGAGGTGATTAGGGTAGAGCACTCATGAATGGGATTAGTATCCTAATAAAAGACTTACAGAGAGATCCTGCACCACTTCAGCCATGTGAGGACACAGCTAAAAGATGTCATTTACGAATGAAGAAGCAAGCCTTTACCACAAATTGTAAATTGTATCTACTGGCATCTTGATCTTGGGGTTCCCAGTCCCCAGAAGTGTATGAAATAAGTTCCTGTTGTTATAAACCACCCAATCTATGTGGTGGTCTATTATTTAACCTAAATGGACTAACACATTATGTAAATGTTAGGCTGGAGCATTAGTTATACTTTGTATGTCTTTTGCAATTAAAAAGTATTTATGGCTCAAATTGAAAGAATACATTTCTGGACATGCAGGAGACAGAAAATGTAACCATCTGCAAATTAACAATCATTAAATCACTTGGAGAAATTCCCTGATGATCTATATCTTTAAAAATTATTTAAGTGGCAAAATATCAAAAGCAATGAAACTATTACACATGTGTGCTGAGTTACATTTTAATGAAATGAACCTACATTCAATGCATTGATTATATGCTCCAAAATTTTTCTAATATTATTTTCCTTTTTATGTGTTTTCACATTTATTTGTTGAATGAATTAATCATGAGACCAAAATGTATTATGGAAACAATATTAAAATTTAAATGACAAGGTTTTAAATGCGTTTAAGTCTATCTTTCATTTTTAAAAAGAAAATAAATAGTAAAAGTGAGTAGACTGTAACTTGAACAACTCATTCTTATAAATAAAATTTTGCACTCATTTGAAAAAATATTGATACTATTATATTTTTATATGATAGTCTAAGTTACAAATCAATGTAGATATATTCTCAAGCATTTTCCAAGCATATGAATATTAGTCATTGTCAACAAACATTGGTGAGCTAGCAAAAACAAAAAACCCAAAACACATGAATTTATTTATTTATTTATTTATTTATTATTTTATTATTATTATACTTTAAGTTTTAGGGTACATGTGCACAATGTGCAGGTTAGTTACATATGTATATGTGTGCCATGCTGGTGTGCTGCACCCATTAACTCATCATTTAGCATTAGGTATATCTCCTAATGCTATCCCTCCCCACCACCACACCCCACAACAGTCCCCAGAGTGTGATGTTCTCCTTCCTGTGTCCATGTGTTCTCACTGTTCAATTTCCACCTATGAGTGAGAATATGCGGTGTTTGGTTTTTTGTCCTTGTGATAGTTTACTGAGAATGATGATTTCCAATTTCATCCATGTCCCTACAAAGGACATGAGCTCATCATTTTTTATGGCTGCATAGTATTCCATGGTGTATATGTGCCACATTTTCTTAATCCAGTCTATCATTGTTGGACATTTGGGTTGGTTCCAAGTCTTTGCTATTGTGAATAGTGCTGCAATAAACATACGTGTGCATGTGTCTTTATAGCAGCATGATTTATAATCCTTTGGGTATATACCCAGTAATGGGATGGCTGGGTCAAATGGTATTTCTAGTTCTAGATCCCTGAGGAATCGCCACACTGACTTCCACAATGGTTGCACTAGTTTACAGTCCCACCAAAAGAGTAAAATGTTCCTATTTCTCCACATCCTCTCCAGCACCTGTTGTTTCCTGACTTTGTAATGATTGCCATTCTAACTGGTGTGAGATGGTATCTCATTGTGATTTTGATTTGCATTTCTCTGATGGCCAATGATGATGAGCATTTTTTCATGTGTTTTTTGGCTGCATAAATGTCTTCTTTTGAGAAGTGTCTGTTCATGTCCTTCGCCCACTTTTTGATGGAGTTGTTTGTTTTTTTCTTGTAAATTTGTTTGAGTTCATTGTAGATTCTGGATATTAGCCCTTTGTCAGATGAGTAGGTTGCAAAAATTTTCTCCCATTTTGTGTGTTGCCTGTTCACTCTGATGGTAGTTTCCTTTGCTGTGCAGAAGCTCTTTAGCTTAATTAGATCCCATTTGTCAATTTTGGCTTTTGTTGCCATTGCTTTTGGTGCTTTAGACATGAAGTCCTTGCCCATGCCTATGTCCTGAATGATAATGCCTAGGTTTTCTTCTAGGGTTTTTATGGTTTTAGGTCTAACATTTAAGTCTTTAATCCATCTTGAATTAATTTTTGTATAAGGTGTAAGGAAGGGATCCAGTTTCAGCTTTCTACATATGGCTAGCCAGTTTTCCCAGCACCATTTATTAAATAGGGAATCCTTTCCCCATTGCTTGTTTTTGTCAGGTTTGTCAAATATCAGATAGTTGTAGATATGTGGCATTATTTCTGAGGGCTCTGTTCTGTTCCATTGATCTATATCTCTGTTTTGGTACCAGTACCATGCTGTTTTGGTTACTGTAGCCTTGTAGTATAGTTTGAAGTCAGGTAGCGCAAAACACATGAATTTATAGAAATTAAATACATTAGAAAACTCTAAATACATATAGATTCATTGTAGATTCATTATTTTAGGAGAAATATAAATAAAATATCAACATGCTTTTAATACCCAATAACAAAATTATCACACATTAAGTAAATGCCATAGTCCTAAGAGCTCCCCATGTATTAAATCATTTTATTATGTTATATTTTGTTCACAGTAAGCAATATATGCATGATATGCAATTATGAACATAAAAAAGTGAACACCCATGTTCCAATTTAAGAACTTAGATATTATTATTATTATTTTCATAATTAGATATTGGTAGCTGCTTTTATTTTTATTATACTTTAAGTTTTAGGGTACTTGTGCACGTGCAGGTTTGTTACATATGTATACATGTGCCATGTTGGTGTGCTGCACCCATTAACTAGTCATTTAACATTAGGTATATCTCCTAATGCTATCCCTTCCCCCTCCCCCCACCCCACAACAGGCCCCAGTGTGTGATGTTCCCCTTCCTGTGTCCATGTGTTCTTATTAGAACTTAGATATTATTGATACTAACGAATCTACCTCTGGGCTTCCTCCATCTCCTCACAGCCTCTACCAACACTGAAAACTAGCATCCTAAGTTGTCTTATAATTCACTGATTTCCTACAAGCTTTTTTTCCTGACGCATATATTACAAGACAACATTTATTCATTTTGCATGATTTTGACTTTCATCAAAATAGAATCAGAGTATAAGCAGACTTCCACAATTTGCTTTCTTTTCAATGATATATTTCAATGTTACATTAACGTTTTTCCATGTAGTTGCAGTACCTTTATTTTGACCGCTACATTTCTTTTGGTAATTATACCCTAATAAATATATAATTCAATGGTTTATACAATGTCCCATTAACAAAAATTTGATTTTTTTAGTCTGTTTGTAATGCTAATATAATGCCAACAACAATTTCATACATGTTGCTTGGTACATCTACACAGGACACACACACATACAGGCAGAGACATAAAATTCTTGGGTCATTGGGCCATAGGGTATATAATATTCAACTTCACTATTTAATTTCAAATTATTTTCAAAAACAGTCATAGCTGTATATACTCTCATATAAACTGTATGAGAGTTCTTATTTATTCATTTGCTCAACATTAACAATTGAGTTCTGCTATGTTCTAGGAACTATTTGTTCATGGAACTTGATTTATTCTCACAATTTTTGTACATCCGAGTGGATATAAAGTGTTATCTTGTTCTGATGTCAAGTTGCATTTATCTGATTATCAATAAAGTTGTACATACTCATATGTTTATTGGTCATTGCTATTTCTCTATCTGAAAAAAAAACCCACTTATCTCTTTTGTCTCATTTTTTTGTATTTTTTTACTGATTTTTAGAAATTGTTTATACATACTGAACATTAATTATTTATCAGTAGTATATTTTATTAATATGTTTCCACTCTGTAGCTTGTCTTTTGATTCTCCTTTTGTTATCTGATGAACAGAAGTACTTAATTTCCACGCAGACAAATTTATCTATAACTTTTTTTAATTGCAGAAATTTAAATGGCTTCTTTAGGCATTATTTCGGAGGATCAAGATTTTAAAGATATTTTTCTATGTATTATTCTAACTTTAGAAAATTATCTTTTGTCAAT
Source organism: Homo sapiens (assembly GCF_000001405.40). NCBI lineage: Eukaryota > Metazoa > Chordata > Mammalia > Primates > Hominidae > Homo > Homo sapiens. The sequence goes on along the minus strand of NC_000006.12, from coordinate 115,111,957 downwards.
CTGAAATCGTTTTGGGATATGGCATTTCATAGGAAAACAACTATTTTTTGAATATGAATAAACAAGAATCTCTCTTCTCATCAGAGTTTTGCCATACCACATCAATTATGTAACGATACCATGCATGCACATGCATCTGTTCTGAGCTTTCTATATTGTTTTATTGTCAATTTGTCTATTCCTACTCTTATTTCTATATTGCACTCTATTCATTACCATAAATCATAATACCTGATAGGACAATTTCTTTTATTTCCTTGGTAGGATGATTTCCTTATTTTTGCTTAATTTAAAATGAAATAAAATCTAGTTTTAATTTTATTTCCCTTCATTTTTAATTTATCAAAAGCAACATTTAAATAGTGGTGCTTTAACAAATATGAAAGGTTTCTAAAAATGTGGAAGGATTCTGAAGATAGGTGAAACTGATAAAAATATGGAGGGATAAAAAATGATAGCAAACTTTCTGACAGTGAGAGCGAAGGCAAATAATGATAAGATAGACAAGATACAAACACAGCTTATGTAATGTGGAAAATAACCAATCTTATTTAGCTGTCTGATAGGATTGTTATATTCAAACTCAATCATTGTCATTTCTGCTCAATTTCCTTAAATCAATACATTTTAATCAATTATAAGTTTACTTAACACAAAGAAACTACAGAGTCAAATTCACACCACAGTTTGAATTAAGAATCATGTTCTAGAAAAACTGCCTCTAAGTCTCTTGTTCCTTCAGTCACAGTGTCACGAACAAAATTAGAGGCACATCTTCAGAATCTTGGAGTATTTTAAGTTTTGCCATGCAAAAAAACTGACCTTTGTGATTTTTTTAAATAAATAAACAAATACTCCCCTTTGTAGGTAAAATATTACAAAGGAGAATTTATGGTATTGAATTACTATTTGGATCTCCTAACATTATGTTTGGGAATTTAAATCCATCCCATTCCTTTTCTACTTTTGGAGCATAATCAGTCACCAAAGTTTATAAGGCCCCTGAAAAGAGTAAAGGACTAATCTCACTCACAAGGAACACTTATTTTTTTTAATATAACTAAAGTTTTACAATCCCAATAGGAAAACTAATACTACTTCTGCTAGTATCCATGTCAAGGTTGTCTTCTTTGATGAATGGCTTTGCCTCAGTAGGGCACTTTAGGAAGTATCCTTCCTAGATGGTTCAAGCATCTGGGGGAAAAGGCAGCAAATCATCATGGAACTTAGGCTAAGAATTTGAGGTTCCTAGTCCATATAGCTTTACACACACGACTAACTTCTCTAAATTGTATAAATCATGATTTTCCGCACAATGCCAACCTCCGTGTTAAAAATGTGTCTTGATCTTACTTCAATTCCTCAGATTATGTCCAAAATCTTCCATAGGTCCAAACAAATTTTACTTCCTCAGAAGGAAAGCTTGGATAAAAAATATAAAAGGCAAAAGAGAGAAGATCCCCATCAATTTGATGGGAAGTTTTAAAGAAAAATGACTTAGGAAGGATCAAGATGCATTTTGGCAACTAGATGAAAATAATTGTATATGGAAGGGAAATAGTAGAGAACTGAAGAAATCAAGTTAAAAGCAAATCCAAAAGGTTTTTATTGTGGGCACATTTTATTTTAAGAAAGTGAGAAAATAAAGTTAGAGAGCTTTAATAATGGAAAATAAACTACTTTGGAACTATATAACATGGTGAATGTATTTGAATATTAGCAGTATTCAGTTTAAATATAATTTTTATTTCTGCCAGCTTGTGCAGTAACACAGGAAGCCCACATAAAATAGTTCATCTTGATTGGTATGATTCTAGATTAAATTGAATTCCTTGGCCTTTCTGTATAAAAATTACCAGGGAATCTGCTTCATTTGTAACAAATTCTAACAATAACAATAGTTACAACAAGCTAAAGCCACTAATTGATGTAAAACCTGCATTTGTTACATGTTAAAATGAGGTAAAATGAAATATAATTTGATAATGTTGGATTACAAAACTACAAACACTCATCTTTAATTCAGAATCCGTTAAAAAAAAAAAAAAGAAAGAAAGTGTCATGTTGTTGCTTTTTCCTAAATTATTTGATAGAAAAACTGACCTGAATTTATTTGGTGGCAAAAGTTGAACCTTAGCTATAATAAAGTTTTTTTTTTTTAGTCTCTATTGCATTTAGTGTAAATATTCCTATATCTGGAAGCAGAAATACTAATATGTTTGGTTGTATAGCACTATCTCTGACATGATGGGGTAATATGTATGCCATAATGCCTTTTTAAAATACAAAAAAATGCTGAATTCAAAATTTAGCCCCAAAAGTAGATAAAAAATGGTGGAATGGTGACAGTGTTCTTCCTGCATATATTTGCTTTTGCTTCTCTTAATTTAATTGTTAATAAAAAATAAGAGTTTTTATTATATGTTATTTTTTACTCTTATTTTTAGTAAAGTACTACAGGTACCTAATTAGTAACATCAAACAGTACTATAAGACTCATAAACAAAGCAAAGAAACAAAGAGTAATTCCCTGCATCCCTTTCCCCCACTGCTACTATCTGTTCTTTACAGGCAATAAATTTCATTATATTTTTCTCTTTTTTTGAAACAATTTTGAAGATACATCTACAATTCACCCATTTCAAGTGTACAAATTCAGTGGGTTTTAGCCTATTCACTTTTAGGTACAACCATCGCCACAATCAATTATAGAACCTTTTTTTGTCACATCAAACAAGGAACTCTATACCTGTTAGCTTTCACCCCCTATCACCACATCACCCTCCATCCATAATCAAACCTAATCTACTTTTTGTCCTTATATATTCTCCAGTTCTAGACATTTAATATTAACAGAATCACAAAATATGTTTTTTTTTTGTGACTATGTTTTCACTTAGGTTTCAAGGCTCATCCGTGCCATGGCATGTATTAGTACTTCATGCCTTTTTATTGCCAAATAAGATTCCATTGTATAATTATAGCACATTTTGTTTGTCTGTTGATCAGTTGATGGGCATTTTGATTGTTCCTACCTTTTGACTTTTGTCAATACTGCTACTGTAAACATTCTCATGTCTGTTTTTGCTTCAATGCCTGTTTTCAGTTCTTTTGTGTGTAGAACAAGGAGAATTGCTTCATATAGTAATTCTATGTTTTTTTTAGTGTGAACTCCCAAACTGTTTACAACAGAGACTGCATCATTTTACATTCCCATCAGTAATTTATGAGAATTCTAATTTCTCTGCATCGTTGATGACATTTATTATTTTCCTTTATAAAAAATTCTGGCCATCCTAATGAGTATGAAGTGGTATCTAATTGTGGTTTTGAATTGTATCTTCATTATCGCTAATAATATTAAGCATCTTTTCAAGTGTATATTGGTGATTTGTATACTTCCCTTGGAGTATTATCTATGTGGATCCTTGGCCCATTTATATATTGAATTACTTGTCTTTTTATTCTTGAGTTTTTAGAGTTATTACATATTCTAACATAAAACCCTTATTAGATATATGATTTGGAAATACTTTATCTGATTCTCTGTGTATTCTTTTCATTTTTTGACAGTGTACTTTGATGCACAAATGTTTTAAATTTTGATAGAGTACTATTTGTCTATTTTTTCTTTAGTCTTGAATTTTTGATGTCATATCTAAGAAATGATCACCAAATACTAGGCCATGAAGATTTACCCCCCAAATTTTTTCAAATAATTTTCTAATTATAGCTCTTAACTGTAGGTGTTTTATCAATTTTGTGTTAATTATTGTATATTATATTAGTAAGAGTCTCACTTCACTGTTTTGCATATGCTATCCAGTTGTCCCACCACCGTTTGTTGAAAAGACAGACTATTACTTCCCTCATTTAGTAGTCTTGGCACTCTTGTTGAAAATAAGTTGGTCATACACACATGGTTTTGTTCCTGGATTCTCAATTTTATCCCATTGTTCTCTATATCTATCTTTATATCAGTAAGATTGTCTTGACTACCGTTGTTTTGTACTAGGTTGTGAAAATAGGAAGCGTAATTTCTTCAACAGTGGCACAGTCATGGTTCATTGCAACCTTGAACTCCTGGACCCAAGAGATCTTCCTACGTTGGCCTCCTGAGTAGCTGGGACTATAGGCATGTGCCACCATGCCTGACTAATTTTTTTTATTTTTTGTAGAAATGGGGTTGCACTATGTTGCCCAGGCTGGTCTCAAACTCCTAGATTCAAGAAAACTCTTCTTACTATTACTTCAAACTTTTTCAAGATTTCCTTGGTTACTCTGGGTTCCTTCCAATTACATATACATGTTAGAATCAGAGTATCAATTTCTAAAACAAAGTCAACTGGGATTCTGATAGGGATTACATTCAATCTATAGGTAAATCTGGGAAAACACTGCCATCTTAACAATATTAAGTCTTCTGATCCATGAACATGAGATTTTGAACAATTTATTATATCTTTTTTAATTACTTTCAACAATAATTCGTGGTTTTTATAATAAAATTATTGCACTTCTTTTGTTAACTTTATTTCTAAGTATTATTTAATGCTATGGTAAATAAAATGTTCTTAATCTAATTTTCAGATTATTAATTACAAGTTTATAGGACTACAATTAATTTTTATTCCTGGGTCTTATATCCTAAAACCTTACTGAACTCATTCATTTATCCCAGTAACTTGTAATGAACTCCTTAAGATTCTTTATATAAAAGATCATGCCATTTATGAGACATAAAGATTTAGATGCTTTTTCTGTATTTATTGATAAAATCATATAATTTTTAATTCTATTTCTATGATGTTGATATGCTTTGGCTGTGTCCTCACCCAAGTCTTATCTTGAATTGTAACCCCCACAATTCCCACATGTTGTGGGAAGGACATAGGGGGAAGTAATTGAATCATGGGGGCAGGTCTTTCCTGAGCTGTTCTCGTGATAGTGAATAAGTCTCATGAGATCTGATGGCTTTATAAGGGGGAGTTTCCCTGCACAAGCTCTCTCTTTGCCTGCTACCCTCCATATAGGACATGACTTGCTCCTTCTTGCCTTCTGCCATGATTGTGAGGCCTCCCCAGCCACATGGAACTGTGAGTCCATTAAACCTCTTTCTTCGGCACGTTGTCCAGTTTTGTGTATGTCTTTATCAGCAGTGTGAAAACGGACTAATATAGATGTCTTATATTAACTGATTTTTAAATGTTAAAACAACCTTTTATTACTGGGATAAAACCCACTTTATTATGGTATTTACTTATTTTATATATTTTTAGTATCAGGTTGCTAGTGTTTTGTAGTGATTTTGTGTTTATATTCATAGAAGATATTGTTCTGTAGTTTTCCTGTGATAGCTTTGTCTGGTTTTGGTAACTATTACTAGGTTTATAGAATAAAATTGAGAGGTGTTCTTTCCTCTTCTGTTTTTTGCTAGAGTCTGTGAAGAAGTGGCATTAGTTTTTTCTTTTTATTTTATTTTATTTTTTTATCCTGAGACAAGATCTGTCTCTGTCACCCAGGCTGGAGTGCAGTGGCACAGTTCATTGCAACTTTGAACTCCTGGACCCAAGGGATCTTCCTACCTTGGCCTCCTGAGTAGCTGAGACTGTAGGCGTGTGCCACCACACCTGGCTATATTTTTTATATTTTTCATAGAAATGAGGTTGCATTATGTTGCCCAGGCTAGCATCAGACTCCTAGATTCAAGCAATCTTCCCACCTTGGCCTCACAACATGCTGGGATTACAGATATGAGCCACTGGGCTGGGCCAGTCTCAATTTTTCTTTAAATGTTTAATATAATTTACCAGTGAAGTGGCCTTATCCTGAGCTTTTTGTGTGTGTGTATAGTTATTTTGATTACTAACTCACTTGTCGGTATATGCAGATTGTCTAATTTCTTCTTGAGTCAGTTCAGGAATTTGTGCTTTTCTGGTCATTAATCTATTTCATCAAAATTTTCTAATTTATTGACATAATTTTCATAGTATTCCTTTATATTCTCTTTTATTTTTGAAATGTCAGTTGTAATGTTTCCTTTTTCTTTTCTGTTTTCAGTAATTTGGATCTCTTCTTTTTTTAATTGGTCAATTTATCAAAATAATTTTAAATTTTGTTAGTCTTTTCAAATAACCAGCTTTGATAACAATGATTTTTTTACTCTGTTGTTTAGTCTTTATTTTATTAATTTTGGTTCTAATCTTTATTATTTCTTTCTTTTTGATTGCTTTAGATTTAGGTTGTTCTTCTTTTTCCAATGTCTTAAGCAGAAAAATGGATTATTTGTTATCTTTTTTCTTAATGTGGATATATTTATAATTACTATGGGCATAATTATTATAATTGGTATAGATTTAGCTGTATCCTATAAGTTTTGGTATGTTTTTTCTTCATTTTCATTCACCTCAAAATATTTTGTAATTTCCTTTTTGATTTTCCCTTTAGCTCATTGGACGTTTAAGAGTGTGCTATTTAATTTTCCACATACTTGGGAGATTCTCATATTTCTTTCTGTTATTGATTTATAATTTCACTTCATTGTAGTTGAAGAACATACTTTGTATTATGTCTATCCTCTTAAGTTTGTTCAGGTTTGTTTTATGACCTAATCTATAGTGTATCGTGGTAGATAGTCCATGTGCACTTGAAAAGAATATATATTCTACTCTTGAATGGAGTGTTCTATAGATAGCTGTTAGGTCTACTTGGTGTATAGCATTTTTCCAGTCTCCCAGCTATGAAAATACTTGTAGCAAAAGCTGACAGAAATGAAGGGAGAAATAGAAAGTTCTACCATAATAGTTGGAGACTTTAAATCCCAAATTTCAATATGGATAAAACAACTATGCACATATATTAATAACTGGCATATCTTTCTGATGAATTGACCTTTTTATTATTATGAAAGGCTTCTCTTTATCTCTGATAATAGTTTGTTGTTTAAATTTTGTCTGATGTTAGTATGGCCACTTCAAATTTCTTATCATTGCTGTTTGTATAACATATTTTTCCATCCTTTTACCTATAATCTGTTTGTATCTTTGAATTTAATTTATAATACTTATAAATAGTATACAGTTGAATTTTTTAATCCAGTCTGGCAATCTCTGCATTTTGATTGAGTTGTATAGTTCACTTATATTTAATGTATTATTAGTTTTAAGAGAAATTTTATTGTCTATATGTAAGGTATACATCATGATATTATGAGATACATATATAGTAAGATGGTTACTATAGTGAAACAAATTAACATATTTATAATCTTATGTAATTACCCATTTTCCCCCCTGTGGCAAGAGCAGCTATCAAGGCATTTTGAAAAGTTCATAAAAAGAGATAAAAAATAGAATTCAAATATGAAAGTAAAAAATATAAACTCCATTTCCCAACATAAACTCCATCAATTCAAGATACTTTTATGAGAACTAATACCAGCCATTTAGTCCATTCCTAAAGAACTAAAAGTCCTGAGAACTTAACCATGTCGATGTAGTCATTTTCATATTACTAACTGAAGAAAAATAATGGGTGCCCTTTAAAAAATTTTTAAGATTAAGTAACAAAAAAAAGTCAGAAGAAGCCAAATTAGAACTGTAAGGTGGATGCCTAATGATTTTCCATCAAAACTCTCACAAAATTGCCCTTGTTTGATAAAAATAATGAACAGAAGCATTGCTGTCGTGGAGTACTCTCTGATGATTTCCTGGCAACATTTTTCTGCTAAAGCTTTCTTAAGACGTTCTCATGATAAGCAGACATATCATTTTTTGGTCCTCCAGAAAGTCAACAAACAAAATTTTTTTAGTATCTCAGAAAACTGTATCCATAACCTTTGCTTTTGACTGGTCTGTTTTTGTTTTGACTGGACTACTACCACGTCTTGGTAGCCATTGCTTCAACGGTGCTTTGTCTTCAAGATCATACTGGTAAAGTCATGTTTAATTTCCTATTACAATTCTTCACAGAAATGATTTGGGATCTTGATCCCACTTGTTTAAAATTTCCATTGAAAGCTCTGCTTTTTTCTGCAGCTGATCTGTGTGCAATGGTTTTGGCATCTATCATGTGAAAAGTTTGCTCAACTTTAATTTTTCAGTCAGAACTGCGTGCACTGAAACAGTTGAGGTGTCTATGGTGTTGGCTATTGTTTCTGCTGTACTTTGTCAGCCCTCTTCAATTAGGGCATGAACAAGATGAATTTTTTTCATGCAAATTAATGTGGATGGTCTGCCCACTGCAGGCTTTGTTTTCAACACTGTTTGGTCCATTCTTAAAATGATTATTTATTTGTGAACTACTGATTTCTTTGGAGCATTATCCCTGTAAACTTTTTGTAAAGCATCAATTATTTAGCCATTCTTCCACCCAAGTTTCACCATCAATTTGATGTTTGTTCTTGTTTCATTTTTAGCAGAATTCATGTTGCTTTGATAGGGGTTCTTTTCAAACCAATGTCTTATCCTTTTTATTGTTATTGTTAATAATTTCAACTCTTATTTCAGATTTAGGGATAGAAGCTGCTTTGTGGCCTTCAATGGGGATATCTCCAGGTTGGAGAGAAACTGAGGCAACCAGGGTCTGGAGCAGACCCCCAGCAAACCACATCAGCTCTACAGTAGAGTAGCGTTACTGTTAAAAAAAAAAAAAAAAAAAGACAAACAGAAAACAATAACAAGAACATCAACAAATAAAAGACCCCACAAAAATCTCATTCAGAGGTCAGTAACCTCAAAGACTGAAGGTAGGTAAGCCCACAAAGATGAGAAAGAATCAATGCAGAAATGCTGAAAACTCAAAAGCCAGAGCACCTCTTCTCCTCCAAATGACTGCCACACTTCTCCAGTAAGGGCAAAGAATTGGGCTGAGGATGAGATGGCCAAGTTGACAGAAGTATGCTTCAGAAGGTGGGTAATAATGAACTTTGCTGAGCTGAAGGAGCATGTCTAACCCAACCAAAGAAGCTAAGAAACATGATAAAACCACACAGAAGCTGACAGCCAAAATAACCAGTTTAGAGAGGAACATAACTGGCCTAATAGAGCTGAGAAACAAACACAAGAACTTCACAATGCAATCACGACTATCAGTAGCAGAATAGACCAAGTGGAGGAATCTCTGTGATGGTTAATACGGAGTGTCAACTTGATTGGATTGAGGGATACAGAGTATTAATCCTGGGTGTGTCTGCATGGGTGTTGCCAAAAGAGATTAACATTTGAGTCGGTGGGCTGGGAAAGGCAGATCCACCCTTAATCTGGTGGGCACAGTCTAATCAGCTTCCAAGGCATATAAAGCAGCTAGAAAAACATGAAAATGAGAGATGGGCCTAGCCTCCCAATCTACATCTTTCTCCCATGCTGGATGCTTTCTGCCCTCGAACATCGGACTCCAACTTCTTCAGTTTTGGGAATCGGACTGGCTCTCCTTGCTCCTCAGCTTGCAGACAGCCTATTGTGGGACATTGTGATCACATAAATTAATAATAAACTCCCCTTCACATATGTGTGTGTGTATATATATATACACACACATATGTGAAGGGGAGATATATATGTGAAGGGGAGTTTATTAACATGTTATACATATATATATTTTATATATATATATATTATATATATATATCTCCTATTATTTCTGTCCCTCTAAGAGAACCCTAATACAATCTCGGAGCTTGAAGACTTGAAGACTATCTTTCTGAAATAAGACAGGCAGACAAGAATAGAGAAAAATGAATGAAAAGTAATGAATAAAACCTCCAAGAATTATGGGATTATGTAGAAACTGAACCTACAAATATTTGGGGTTCTTTGAAAGAGATGGGGAGAATGGAACCAAGTTGAAAAATGTACTTCAGGATATCATCTAGGAGAACTTCCCCAACCTAGAAAGACAAGCCAAGATTCAAATTCAGGAAATGCAGAGAACCCCAGTGAGATGATCACTGGGAAGATCAACCCCAAGACACATAATCATCAGATTCTCCAAGGTTGAAATGTAAGAAAAAATGTTCAGGGCACCTTGGCATGGTGGTTCACGCCTGTAATCCCAGCACTTTGGGAGGCCAAGGCAGGCGGATCATAAGGTCAGGAGTTCGAGACCAGCCTGGCCAACATAGTGAAACCCCATCTCTACTAAAAAATACAAAAATTACCCGGGCATGGTGGTGCACACCTGTAGTCCCAGCTACTCAGGAGGCTGAGGCAGGAGAATTGATTGAACTTGAACCCAGGAGGCAGAGGTTGTGGTGAGCTGAGATCAGTCCACTGCACTCCAGCCTGGGCAACAGAGGGAGACTATGTCTCAAAAAAAAAAAAAAAAAATGTTAAGGGCAACCGGAGAGACAGGCCAAATCACCTACAAAGGGAAACCCAATCAGATTAATAGTGGACCCAACCCTATAAGCCAAAAGAGACTGGGGGCTAATACTCAGCATTCTTGAAGGAAAGAATTTCCACCCCGGAATTTCATATCCAACCAAACTAAGCTTCATAAGCAAAGGAGAAATAAGATCCTATTCACACAAGCAAATACTGAGGGAAATTGTCACCACTAGGCCTGGCTTGCAAGAGCTCCTGGAAGGAAAAACTGTTAAAGGAAAAACTATTACTAGCCACTATAAAAACACACTGAAGTACACAGACCAGTGACACTATGAAGCAACCACATAAACAAGCCTGCAAAAAAACCAGTTAGCATCATAATGACAGGATCAAGTCCACACATAACAATATTAACCTTAAATGTAAATACTAACCTTAAATGTAAATGCCCCAATTAAAAGGCACAAAATAGCAAGCTGGATAAAGAGCCAAGATCTACTGGTATGCTCTCTTCAAGAGACCCATCTCACATGTGAAGACACACATAGGCTCAGAATAAAGAGATGGAGGTAAATTTACCAAGCAAATGGAAAACAGGAAAAAGTAGGGATTGCAATCCTAGCTTCTGACAAAACAAGCTTTAAACCAAAAACATCCAAAAAGATGACGAAGAGCATCACATAATGGTAAAGGGTTCAATTCAACAAGAAGATCTAAATATCCTAAATATATATGCACTTAACACAGGAGCACCCAGTTTCATAAAGCCAGTTCTTAGACACTTACAAAGAGACTTAGACTCCCATAAAATAATAATGGGAGATTTTAACTTGCCACTGACAATATTACACAGATCATCAAGAAAGAAAATTAACAAAGATATTCAGGACCTGAAATCAGTTCTGGATCAAGGGAACCTGATAGATATCTACAGAATTCTCCACTCCAAAACAACAGAATATACTTCTTCTGAATATATTCTTCTCATCACCACATGGCACTTACTCTAAAACTTATCACATAATCTGAACTGAAACACTTCTCAGCAAATGCAAAAGAACTGAAGTCATAACATACATCCTCTCAGACCACAGCACAATCAAATTAGAACTCAAGATGAAGAAACTCACTCAAAACCACACAATTACATGGAAATTGCACAACCTGCTCCTGAACGACGACTCTTAGGTAAATAATGAAATTAAGGTAGAAATCAAGAAGTTCTATGAAACTAATGAGAACAAAGAGAGAGCATACCAGAATTTCTGGAATACAGCTAAAGCAGTGTTAGGAGGGAGATTTATAGTACCAAATGCCCATATCAAAACACTAGAATGGTCTTAAGTTAACAACCTAACATCTTGACTAAAAGAACCAGAGAACCAAGAGCAAACAAACCCCAAAGCTAGAAGAATACAAGAAATATCCAAGATCAGAACTGAACTGAAGAAGATAGAGGCACACACACAAAAAAATCCTTCAAAAAATCAATGAATCTGGGAGATGTTTTTTTCTGAAAATTTTAATAAAATAGACTGCTAGCTAGACTAATAGAAAAGAGAGAAGGGGCAAATAAACACAATTAGGAATGATAAGGGGGATATCACCACTAACCCCACAGAAATATAAGCAACCATCAGAGAATATTATAAACATCTCTATGCATATAAACTAGAAAATATAGAAGAAATGAACAAATCCCTGGACACAGACACTCTTCCAAGACTGAACCAGGAAGAAATTGAATCCCTGAATAGACCAATAACAAGTTCTGAAATTGAGGCACTAATAAATAGCCTACAAACCAAAAAGAGCCCAGAACCAGATGGATTCATAGCTGAATTCTACCACAGGTAGGAAGAAGGGCTGGCACCATTTCTACTAAAACTATTCCAAAAAATTGAAGAGTAGGGACTCCTCCCTAACTGGTTCTATGAGGCCAGGATCATCCCGATACCAAAACCTGGCAGAGATACAACAACAACAACAACAACAAAAACTTCAGGCCAATATCCCTGATGAACATTAATGCAAAAATCCTCAATAAAGTACTGGCAAACTGAATTCAGCAGCACATCAAAAACCTTATCCACCACATGTCAGCTTCTTCCCCAGGATGCAAAGCTGGTTCAATGTACACAAATCTAAAAATGTTCACATAAACTGAACTAAAGACAAAAACAACATGATTATTTCAACAGACACAGAAAATGCCTTCAATAAAATTCAACATCACTTCATTTTAAAAATTTTAAATAAAGTAGATATTGAAGAAACATACCTCAAAATAATAAGAGCCATACATGACAAACCCACAGTCAATGTTATACTGAATCGGCAAAAGCTGGACGCATTCCCCCTGAAAACTGGCACAAGACAGGGATGCCCTCTCTCACTTCTCCTATTCAACGTATTACTGGAAGTTCTGACCAGGGCAATCAGGCAAGTGAAAAGAAATAAAATGTATTCAAACAGGAAGAGAGGAAGTCAAATTGTCTCTGTTAGCAGATTACATGATTCTATATTCAGAAAACCCTATTGTCTCAGCCCCAAAGCTTCTTAAGCTGATAAGCAACTTCAACTGATAAGCAACTGAAGTCTCAGAATGTAAAATGAATGTGCAAATATTGCTAGCATTACTATACACTAACATCAGGTAAGCAGAGAGCCAAATCATGAGTGAACCTCCATTCACAGTTGCTACAAAAAAAAAAAAATACCTAGGAATACAGCTAAAAAGGGAAGTGAAGGACCTCTTCAAGAAGAACTACAAACCACTGCTCAAGGAAATAAGAGAGGACACAAACAAATGGAAAAACATTCCATGCCCATAGATAGGAAGAATCAATATCCTGAAGATGGCTATACTGCCCGAAGTAATTTATAGATTCAAGCTATTCCTATTAAACTACCATTGGCATTCTTTGCAAAATTAGAAAAAACTATTTTGAAATTCATATGGAACCAGAAAGGAACCCAAATAGCCAAGACAATCCTAAGCAAAAAGAACAAAGGTGAAAGCATCTTGCCACTGAACTTCAAAATATACTACATGGCTACAGTAACCAAAACAGCATGGTACTGGCACAAGAACAGACACATAGACCAATGAAATAGAATAGAAAACTCAGAAATAAGTCTGTACGTACAACCATCTGATCTTCAACGAACTTGACATAAACAAGCAAATAAATTGTGCTGGCAATAATGGCTAGTTATATGCAGAAAATTGAAACTGGACCCCTTCCTTACACCATATACAAAAATTAACTCAAGATGGATTAAAATAAAGACTTAAACGTAAAACCCCAAATTACAAAAATCCTAGAAAAAACTCTATGCAATACCATTCAGGACACAGGCACAGGCAAAGATCTCATGATGAAAATGCCAAAAGCAATTTCAACAAAAGCAAAAATTGACAAGCAGAATCTAGTTAAACTAAAGAGCTTCTACACAGAAAAAGAAATTATCAATAGAGTCAACAGACAACCTACAGAATGGGAGAAAATTTTTGAAATCTATCCATCTGACAAAGGTCTAATATCCAGAGTCTATAAGGAACTTAAACGAATTTAAAAGAAAAAAACAATCCATTAAAAAGCGAGCAAAGGACATGAACAGACACTTCTCATGCTGTCAACAAACATATGAAAAAAAGCTCAAAGTCACTGATCATTAGAGAAATGCAAATCAAAACCACAATGAGATACCATCTCATGCCAGTCAGAATGGCTATTAAAAAGTCAAAAAACAACAGATACTGATGAGGTTGTGGGGAAAAATAAACACTTTTACAGTGTTTGTGGAAGGGTAAATTAGTTCAACCATTGTAAAGACCTAGAGGCAGAAATGCCATTTGACCCAGCAATCCCATTACTGAGTATGTACCCAAAGAAATATAAATCATTCTATTACAAATATACATGCATGTGTATGTTCATTGCAGCACTGTTCACAATAGCAAAGACATGGAATCAACTCAAATGTCCATCAATGATAGACTGGCTAAAGAAATGCATGCAATACTATGCAGCCACAAAAAGGAACAAGATAATGTCCTCTGCAGGACGTGAACGGAGTTGGAAGTCATTATCTTCAGCAAACTAACCCAGGAACAGAAAACCAAACATCACATGTTCCCACTTATAAGTGGGAGTTGAACGATGAGAACATGTGGATACAGGGAGGGAACATCACAAACTGGGTCCTGTCTGGGGTGATGGGGGAAGGAAGATCATCAGGAAAAATAGCTAATGGATGCTGGGCTTAATATCTAGGTGATGGAATGACCTGTGCAGCAAACCATCATGGCACATGCTTTTTTTTTTTTTTTTTTTTAGATGGAGCTTTGATCTTGTTGCCCAGGCTTGGGTGCAATGGTGTGATCTCGGCTCGCTGCAGCCTCTGCCTCCCAGGTTCAAGCGATTCTCCTGCCTCAGCCTCCCAAGTAGCTGGGATTACAGGCATGTGCTACCATACCTGGCTAATTTTGTATTCATAGTAGAGATAGGGTCTCTCCATGTTGGTCAGGCTGGTCTCGAACTCCCGACCTTAGGTGATCCGCCCACCTTGGCCTCCCAAAATGTTGGGATTACAGGCGTAAGCCACCTCACCCTGCCCAGGGCACATGTTTACCTGTGTAACAAACCTGCACACCCTGCACATGTACCCCTGAACTTAAAAATTGAAGAAAAAAAATACAAGACCCAAATGAAAATACTAGAAATTAAAAGTACAATAGCAAAAACAACTGTTTTAATGGTCTTTATTTCGTCATACATAGCCCTTAAAAAACAGATGCCTGTCTATTTTTTACCTTAATTTTCCTGTGCCTCTACCTCCAGTAAATCCTGTATTCCTGACAAACTGAATGTAATGACCTTTCCAAAATATACCAGACTGTTAATAATCTTGAGCCTTTGTGGAAATGATTTTCTCTACATTGAATTCTTACTGCACCACCTTCAATATACATACACTTACAAGCTCTCTCTGCTCTTATTCACCAAATTCTTACTGATTATCAAAACTCAGCTTAAATGTTACCATCTAGGTGAAGCCTTCACTCATCAATGAAGAGTGAGTACTCTACTTTTTGTTTCCAAATTATATTGTTTCTGATTTTGCAGTCGTATTCACTACCTGCTATTATAACTATTCTCTTTGCATGTGTGTGCTTACTACTACTTGAAAGCATGAAATGTCTCTTTAATATTTAACCCTCAGCTATTAGCAATATGCTTGGCACATATGAAAAAGGCTCAATAATTGCTTGTGGCTTGAATAAATAAATGGGATAAATCATAATTTTAATAATGCAATGTATTAACAATGATGCTGTAAAATTTGTACCTTAATTCTATAGCAGATGCTGGTAGTATCCAGCCCACATCTCCTTTTCTCTCACTATCTGGGTGTACTCTGGTCTGAATTTTATCTTTCAGCATCTTCATTTTTGGCTTGAACCCTTTCAATGGATGTTGAAATCTGTTTTCTGCAGAAGTGCATCACACTAAAGTTGTATGATTAACACACTCCAGGAGGAGCCCTTACCCAATGACTAACAGAAGTTAGTGTATAAACAGGAGTTGGTGTATCCCCCATCTTCCTCTCCTTTCAAATGGAATAACTCTCAGGCCATGTTTGACAGTGTTTTCCCAGAGTTAGCTAGCAAAATTAAGCTCCAGTTTTCCACAGCATCAGCTTGTTAGATAATGCACTTCTAGTAGGCTTTCTGATTTTTCTTATGTCACTTGTCTATTTGCCTAAAAGGTATTTAGGAAGACAGGTTGTGCCTTCTAAATAATCTCCTGTTACTCAAGTCCTTATCTCACTATCTGCTCCTTGGGAAAGCCAAATTAAGGCATATTCACATGTGAATTTACCCGCTTTCTACATTTCACATTTGATCATATGTCTTTGAGAAAACTATTGTATAAATTGTATGCATTATATTACATGTCTTAGAGTATTAACTAGAGAGTCACTTTGCAAGAATAAAAAAACAAGTCTTCGCTCATCTGTGAATTTATATCATGTTTGTAAGCTTCTATAGTTCTATGCAATATGTTGGTTATTTTAATAGTATTAGTAGGAAAGAGAAAGGTCTACAGAAAATGTTAAAAGTACTTATTGAAAGCAAAGTACTTATTGAAATACCCACAAAGAAGTAACAAAGACATACTCCATAATTGTCAACATAATTATCAAGTCTTGAGATCCACAGGTATTTAATGATGAAAAATGATGCCATGTTTATGAAACTCTATAATCATGGAAATCACTACATAGCCAGCTGCTTCCTAGGCAGCCACTTTATTATGACATGTCTTTTTCTTTAAATGTCAAGTTCTTTTATGACTTTCTTTAGTTTGCATTGTGATTTTGTGGAGAGTATTATAGGTGACATAGCTTTCTTTCATCTTGCGGAAATTACAAGCCTAGCTTAAATTATACTCATGCAGGTGTGGAAAGGAAAAAAAGGGTATTGGTAACTGGTGACATTGAGTTGTGGCAGGCTATGTCAATAGGACTGAAATGATTCCCCTATGCTGCCTTACAGGCTAAATGAGACACCTAGAGCACTTTCATTGGACTTCCCTGGTTTAACCATTAGCTCTAGTCTAATATAATTTCAAGCACATAAAAAACTCATTTTTGAATGAGGAAAAGAGTGACAGTCAAATCTTACTTTCAGATATAGTATGATGGAATTTTAACTTGACTCTTTGGACTACCTCTAGTTTACAACAGATGTGATTTATACTATGTAGGCTTCTCAGGATTGTAGACTAGCTGAGGTATTTCACATTGAACTATCTCATTGATTTTTCAAATCTTTAATCTTGTCCTGGGGAATACATGCAGACTTTTTTTCTTCACCACCATACAATTTTCTGGCCCTTTTCTTTTTTGACTATTCCCCCTAAACTTTAAATTGCTTTTATTTAATCCCCACCAGACTTTCATAAAGCACTTGTCCTTTTTGAAATGCTAACTCTGGGCTCTGACTATTATTTCCCATGGTGAATTTTTATTTCTATCAAGGAAATCTTATTGAGATGGATGTGGGCTCTCTTTCTGGTGCTAATAATAGTTCTTATAGTATTATAAGTAAGTGAAAGAGTAATGCAAAATATATTAATTTCCATTAACTTGTTCTTTTCTAGGACTGTAGGGAAAGTGGGATCTCACAGGACAAATGCCATTGTGAATGAAAGTGTCCTGGGAATGGGGCAGAGTACTATAATTGCAATTCGCTCTATTGCTAATGTGCTGGGCTTCATGGAGTTGTATGAAATAGGAGCCAGGTGGAAGACTGCACATTTGGCTCTACAGCATGGGGTATTGATGTGTTCAACTGTGAGAAGTTAAATCCATAATTTAGTAAAAAACAAAACAGCAACTCAAACCCATCTTGACTGTTGAGCTTCTTCTAATTCTCTCTGTATATTTGTCTTCTTTGTGAGTTCCTGTTACTCTAAAGCTATCTAAATTTCTAATTCCCAAGATTCTGTGCACTTTTTCTGCTCTTCTGCTGGTGCCTTCTGTCTCTCTGTAATGTCATCCATCCTCAAGGTTTTATCTATTTCTTTACTCTAATGACTCAGATAAAGGTTCCTTTATCCTAAATTCCTGATAGAAATAGGCAGATTTCTTCTAGGCACATCCACTTAGAGTATTTCATAGAAACCTCAAAGGCAAACACACACTGATAATTAATTGTCACTGTGCTGGGCACATATTATATATTCACAACAGTTCTGTGAGATATCTGTTGTCCTTTTTTTAAATATGAGAGAAATAGGAGAACCCAATAAAGGAAATAAACTGCCTTAGTCACACATCTAGTAACTGGCATATCTGGTCTATATAACTCCACAAATAATGTAGTTCATACAATATTATCAGGTCAACTTCCAAAAGAAATCTCCAAACAGAGCACATCATTGTTCACTCAAGATCTATTTCTGTAGGAATGCTTTTAAACTGTTTGTGGGAGTGTAAATTAGTTCAACCATTGTGGAAGACAGTGTGGTGATTCCTCAAGGATCTAGAACTAGAATTACCGTTTGACCCAGCAATCCCATTACTGGGTATATACCCAAAGGATTATAAATCATGCTACTATAAAGACACATGCACACGTATGTTTATTGCGGCACTATTCACAATAGCAAAGACTTGGAACCAACCCAAATGTCCAACAATGATAGACTGGATTGAGAAAATGTGGCATATATACACCATGGAATACTATGTAGCCATAAAAAGGGATGAGTTCATGTCCTTTGCAGGGAGGTGGATGAAGCTGGAAACCATCATTCTCAGTGAACTATCTCAAGGACAGAAAACCAAACACCACCTGTTCTCACTCAGAGGTGGGAATTGAACAATGAGATCACTTGGACACAGGGCAGGGAACATCACACACTGGGGCCTGTTAGGGGGTGGGGGAGAGAGGGAGGGATAGCATTAGGAGAAATACCTAATGTAAATGATGAGTTGATGGGTGCAGCAAAACAACATGTCACACATATACCTATGTATCAAACCTGCACATTGTGCACAGGTACCCTAGAACTTAAAGTATAATAATAATAAAAAGATCTATTTCTGATTTTTCATACTTTATATCTTACTGGAGTTACTATCCTTCTAGATTCAAAATTCTAAAAACCTTAAAGTCTTTTTAGATTGTCCTCTCTCCTTCATTTATTTATATTCAATCAGACAACATGTTTATGGAGTATAGTCTGCTTATTGAGTATATAGTCTTCTAAAGCTTCCTCTTCTCTCCATCATCACTTCTCTAAGTCAGGCTCTCATTATCTTTAACATAACCTTATGGCCTTTCTTGACTCCTCATGTCTCCCTCCAAACAGCCATCAGAATGATCTATATAAAATGCAGATCAGAACATGTACTTCCCTTTTAAAAACATTTTAGAAGATCTCCCATTACCTGTAAAACAAAATCCATACTTCATAATGTGGCATCGTATATTCATCATGACATAGCCTTTTCCTACCTTTTTTTTTTAACCTCTGTTGCTGGTCTCACAACATTTATTTGCATAATACTTAGTGGCCTTGCAGTACTGACTTCATACAAAAATAGCATACATTTCTACACATTTACTCTTCCTTTCTTTTTCTTTTTTTATTTTACTTTAAGTTCTGAGATACATGTGCTGAAAGTGCAGGTTTGTTACATGGGTATACATGTGCCATGGTGGTTTGCTGAACCTATCAACTCATCAACTAGGTTTTAAGCCCCACATGCATTAGGTATTTGTCCTAACATTCTTCCTCCCCATGCTCCCCACCCCCCGACAGGCCCCAGTGTGTGATGTTCCCCCTCCCTGTGTCCATATGTTCTCATTGTTCAACTCCCTTTTATGAGCGAGACATTTTATGGTTTTCTGTTCCTGTGTTAATTTGCTGAGAATGATGGTTTCCAGTTTCATCCATATTCCTGCAAAGGAGATAAACTCTTTTTTTTACGGCTGCATAGTATTTCATGGTACTCCTCCTTTCATTCAATAAATATTTACTATGCATCTACAATATGCCAGGCATATCTCAGTACTGAAATATACTGTTGATTATAACTGACTAAGATCCCTGCCTTCATGGACCTTATTGGGTAGTAGTGGGAAGTAGACAATAAACAATACATAAGTTAATTATCTAATATGTAAGAATGTGGTAAGTGCTGTGGGGAAATAATACATAAAGAAAGGGGTATTTAGAGTCCTGGGGCAATTTGCAGTATTAAATACGATGTTTAGAGCAAGCTTCATACAGAAGGCATCATTTGAAAAAGAAAAAAAACTTTAAGGAAGTGATATAGTTAGCCATGTGGTTATCTAGAAGAGCATTCCAGGCAGAGGCTCCAGCTAGTATATCTGTAATAAGGTAGGAATGTGCCTTGTGTGTTCGTGGAATAGCAATGATACAAAGAACTCCATGAGACTGAATAATCAGAGTGAGCAAAGGCACAATGGTAGTGGTGAGGGCAAAGAAGTAAAAGGAAGTTAGCTCATACAAGGCCTTACAAGTGCAGGGACTGGCTTTAATTTAAAGGATAATGAAAATCCAGTGGAGTTATTGAACAAAGGGGTAGTTTGCCTGTTACTTTTAAATGATCACTTCCTGTGTGAGTAAATTAAGGCTGTTGGGAATGAGGGTAATATCAGAGAGACCAGTCAGGTTGCTACTGCTAAACTTCAGGACAGAGAGATATTGGTATTTGGACCAAGGTAATAGCAGTGGAGATAGTGAACGTAGGTGGAATTCTGAATGATTTAAAAAATTGAGCCCCCCACATTTTCTGACAGATTAAAGGTCAGGGTTGTTTGCAACAGGATTATTGCAATTCTTTGCTTATCTTTAGGCATGTCAACAACCATGGTGCTTGTTGTTGAACAAATCCAAATGATATGTAGTAATTGTTGATTAATATACTTTTCTAAAGTCTCAGATAGAATGGAGTAACTTGTACCAGCTTGACAACAATATTTATAAAATATATAAATGATTATTTGCACCTGATTTCTTTTATGTTCCCTTGATTTTGTACTATTGAGCCTGGTCATGCAGCCCAATTTTGGCAATGTGACTATGGGGCTATAAAATATTTCTTTTCAGACAAGATGTGGCTCCTCTGGGACCAAGGTATCTCACAGGTATCTTAATGTTTTACAATCTGAAGACAAAGCATGTCCTGTGTGATTAACAACATCCCCTAGGAGCTGCGCCTGGAATTCTTAGATCTCTCTGATATTTGCCTGTGTTTTCTTTCTTTCTTTCTTTGTTAGGTTTTCCAATTATATAGCCCTGCAGAGTTGCTGCATAGAATACAAGGGAAAGAAAGGAGTTAAGACCTACTACAGGGTTTTGATCCGAGCAATTGGAAAATAGAGTTGCCATAAACCTAGCAGAGAAGAGCTCAGGTAAAGAAAATTTGAGAGTAAACAGACAAAATCAAGAGCTCCGTTTTGGACATGTGAAATTTGAGACATTTATTAAATATCTAAGTATATACGCTGGGTAGGCAGTGGAATAAACACATCTAGAGTTTGCAAGAAGGGTCTGGACTGGAAATATGCACTTGTCAGGACACAGATGGTATTGAAAGCCATGTTACTTGTAGATTTCCTTCTCATGTAAATTTCTTTTTTCTTGTATTCATCTGGCAACCCTTATATATTCTTAAAGATCCAGTTCAGGAAAAAAAAACTTCCTGGAAACTGTCCCTGAACTTCCTAGGTTGTACTAGGTGCCCTTCTTTTGTGCTCCTATACTGTACATAAATATTGAATTTAGCACTAGGAGAAATTACTTATCTACATATCTTCTCCCCCAATAGATAAAATGTCTTTTTTTCCAGGACAGGACTCTGCATTATTCATCCTCATATTTCCAGTACTCAAAACAGTGTTTTGAATTGGAAGCTATACCTCATAACACTTCTATAGAGTAAACCTCAATGTTTCTTTGTAGACTTCAGACTTGTCAAGACTGTGAGCAGGGAGATAATCTTTTACAAAAGGATAGATAGTAGTACTGTCATCAGAGATGCTTAGCTGAAGCTTGTGAACCCATTTATGTAGGGCCCACCCAGAAGAGAAACAACAATCTATACTTATGCTCTGAAGACTTAGATATTGAGAGTTGATCACTAGCCCAAATCAACTTGTCATCTGGTTTGTCTGGTTAGAAAGCCACACAAGACTGGTGTGATCTAATCACATCTGTGCTAGATCCTTCTGGTGGACATGGGGTGTCCTAGAAACTTAGTCAACCTTCTGAAGCATGGAAAAAGGATGCAGATCTTGGAGACCTTGTCCAAATCAAGTAGTTTATTGACCTAGAACTGGTTAAATAAGGAGATTTTTCAATGAGACTTTGGAGTATTCTGCAACTAGACCCAGGTATCCAGAATCCTGAACCACCTGATGAGGAAAAGTTGATTGAAAACTTCTCTCTGAAATGTTCCTCTTTCTCTCCCTAAGGTTATATTTATGCATTGTCATATTTACTCCACAAAGGAAAACACATAGAAAAATTACCATTGCGGCTTGTTCTAGGCTAGAGTTCTACCTATCACTTATACGAAAATCAAGGACCAAGTAAACCCATCTTACTTGGAAAGTGTTTTGTTTTGTTTTCCTGTATGTATTTTCCCACATGAACACTTTAAATAATAGTTTGCAGATGACTTTTTAATTTTATTTTTGGTTTTGGCTTGCTGTAAAAATGCCTCACATTTTATTTATTTTTTTTAATTTTATTTTTATAGATTTGGGGATACATGTACATGTTTATTGCATAGATATATTGAACAATGGTGAGGATATTAACTGTTTTTTTCCCTGGTGTTAGCTGAAAACCATTATCTAGATCTATAATTTCATTAAGTATGTGTAGAATGGCAATGTTTTTATCCTACCATTCTTTCCCCATTTATTAGCTAAAATGATTCTATGAAAGGAAACTTTCCCTCACAATTTATCTTAAGATACTAATAATACAGGAAAAGCAGAATACATTTTTATTTCTGTTTATTTAACATTTTGACAGTCATGAGTTAGTTGTCCAGCACCTTCTGAAACTGGTGAACAAATGTTGTTTTTCTCCTTTGAGTATAGGGACGCACAGATATCAACATCTTTAATGTTTCTAAATTCATTGTAATTACTATTTATATTAATGTTCAAATTGTCTCATTTTGTCAGTGGCAGCTTTTCAAGTTGGTCCCTGATTTATTTTACCATAATTACATATTTTAAAAGCTTTTTTGCTTCCTGTTTTGATAATATAGTCTATGTTTATCTCCATTACTTCATTCAGACCTGGAATCAGTTTCTTCTCCAAGAAGTCTTATTTCCCTTTATAGGGAATGGTGTGTAGAGGCTAAACTCTGGACTGCATAATTACATGATTGACATGATTTGGCTCTATGTCCTCAACCAAATCTCATTTCAAATTGTAATCCCCATAATCCCCAGGTATTGAGGGAGGAGCCTGGTGAGATGTGATTGGATAATGGAGGTGGTTCCCCTATGCTGTTCTTGTGATAGTGAGTGAGTTCTCACGAGATCTGATGGTTTTATAAGTGTCTGACAGTTTCTCTTTCACATGCTTCTTCTTGCCTGCTGCCATGTAAGATGTGCCTGCTTCCCCCTTTGCCATGAGTGTAGATTTCCCGAGGCCTCTCCAGCCATGCAGAATGTGAGTTAATTAAACCTCTTTCCTTTATAAATTACCCAGCCTTGGTTATTTATGTATAACAGTGTTAAAATGAACTAATACAATGATGATATTGTTCTTTTTTCAGGTATTTATTTTACAGAGCTAAAAATATGCTTATTTTTAAGAATGAAGACCAATATGTTAAATTCAGTTTCATAATTACAGAATTTTTACTTAATTTCTTTAATTTTATATTTGCATCTCTATTCTTTAACACTAAAACTCTTGGATCTTAGTTCTATTTGCTTTATCCTATCATATATGTCTGTTAGTATATATGTCTGTTTGTAAAGTATATAATTAATAAAATATGATTACCATGATGGGATAACTAGGACTAATGTTATTCTTCCTTCTTAAACAACTAAAACCCAGACAACATGTAAGAAATAATATTTTAAAACCAGATAAAACATATGATTAACAGGTGGTTCAGGACAGTGATCCTTAGTTAGACTAGTGATCTCTCTAGTTTATCACTTCAACTGCAGGGCAAGGAATGGGAGCCCAAAGAACCTGGCAGTGTTGCTGAGTAGAGAAAGCAGCATTCAGAATTTGTTATGTAAAGATAACTACAATTCATGGGATAGAATACCAGAAAGGAGGGAGATATATGGACATAGAGAAAGTCAGAGATCTGATGAAGATCCTTCTCAAGTTTTTAGCTGAATATTGATCAGCATGTGTGTTTAAGGAAGGAATCTGCCAAAAACAAAGGAAAGAGTCACAGGTAAAGAGAAAGAGAAATTTTCTTGAGCTTACTCTAGGCTGGAAAGAGTTTGTGTTTTCATTATGCCGAGTGCAAAGAACTTCTGACATGAGGCATCAAGTAGAGTCTTCAGCAGATATTGCTTTAGGAGAGGGGTAATATTAGTTCTACAAAGAAGGTTGTTTTGAATCTGATAAAATAGTTTAAAAGAAAGCTTTAAGAGGATTAAACCTTTTCCCAAGTAACGTAAGTACGTTGCAAGAATAATCCAAAAAAGAAAATAAAAACTGAAGAAATAATAAATAATTTGAGACCAAGTAATTTAAAATTCACAATGTCTGGAATCCAGTAAGAGATTACCAGAGATACAAAGAAGCAAAAATGCATGATTTAAAACAAGGAGAAAAATATATCAATAGACATAGATCCATAAATAACACAAATGATAGATTTAATAGAAAATGATATTAAAACAGCTATTATAAGAAAAGCAAGACCATGATAAAAAAAGGAGTTGAAAATTGTAACAAACATCCCATCCCAGTGGAACTTCTAAGATAAAACCTAAAATGTCTGAGAGTAAAATTACTCTACATAGGTTAACAGTAGATTAGACACTGCATAAGAAAAGATTAGTAAGTGAAAGTCATAGCGATAGAAACTATCCAAAATGAAATATGCAGAAAAAAGACTAGACAAAAGAACAGAGCCTCAGTGAACTTTGGAACGATAACATGTGGACTACCATATGTGTAGTTCCTGTCTCAGAAAAAGAAAGAGTTGGGGAGGGGTAATTTTTAAAGACATATACCCCCAAATTCCCATGATTAAGTTAAGTTTTAAGCAGTTCTCGTCAATGTGATATTTGCTCTCATCCCAAGACCATGTTTGCTTTATTCCTGACTTTTTTTCTTTTTATTTATTTATTTATTTATTTATTATTATACTTTAAGTTTTAGGGTACATATGCACAACGTGCAGGTTAGTTACATATGTATACATGTGCCATGCTGGTGGGCTGCACCCACTAACTCGTCATCTAGCATTAGGTATATCTCCCAATGCTATCCCTCCCCACTTCCCCCAACCCACAACAGTCCCCAGAGTGTGATATTCCACTTCCTGTGTCCATGTGTTCTCATTGTTCAATTCCCACCTATAAGTGAGAATATGTGGTGTTTGGTTTTTTTGTTCTTGTGATAGTTTACTGAGAATGATGATTTCCAATTTCATCCATGTCCCTACAAAGGACATGAACTCATCATTTCTTATGGCTGCATAGTATTCCATGGTGTATATGTGCCACATTTTCTTAATCCAGTCTATCACTGTTGGACATTTGGGTTGGTTCCAAGTCTTTGCTATTGTGAATAATGCCACAATAAACATACGTGTGCATGTGTCTTTATAGCAGCATGATTTATAGTCCTTTGGGTATACACCCAGTAATAGGATGGATGGGTCAAATGGTATTTCTAGTTCTAGATCCCTGAGGAATCGCCACACTGACTTCCACAATGGTTGAACTAGTTTACAGTCCCAACAACAGTGTAAAAGTGTTCCTATTTCTCCACATCCTCTCCAACACCTGTTGTTTCCTGACTTTTTAATGATTGCCATTCTAACTAGTGTGAGATGGTATCTCATTGTGGTTTTGATTTGCATTTCTCTGATGGCCAGTGACGGTGAGCATTTTTTCATGTGTTTTTTGGCTGCATAAATGTCTACTTTTGAGAAGTGTCTGTTCATGTCCTTCGCCCATTTTTTGATGGGGTTGTTTGTTTTTTTCTTGTAAATTTGTTTGAGTTCATTGTAGATTCTGGATATTAGCCCTTTGTCAGATGAGTAGGTTGTGAAAATTTTCTCCCATTTTGTAGGTTGCCTGTTCAATCTGATGGTAGTTTATTTTGCTGTGCAGAAGCTCTTTAGTTTAATTAGATCCCATTTGTCAATTTTGTCTTTTGTTGCCATTGCTTTTGGTGTTTTAGACATGAAGTCCTTGCCCATGCCTATGTCCTGAATGGTAATGCCTAGGTTTTCTTCTAGGGTTTTTATGGTTTTAGGTCTAATGTTTAAGTCTTTAATCCATCTTGAATTGATTTTTGTATAAGGTGTAAGGAAGGGATCCAGTTTCAGCTTTCTACATATGGCTAGCCAGTTTTCCCAGCACCATTTATTAAATAGGGAATCCTTTTCCCATTGCTTGTTTTTCTCAGGTTTGTCAAAGATCAGATAGTTGTAGATATGTGGCATTATTTCTGAGGGCTCTGTTCTGTTCCATTGATCTATATCTCTGTTTTGGTACCAGTACCATGCTGTTTTGGTTACTGTAGCCTTGTAGTATAGTTTGAAGTCAGGTAGTGTGATGCCTCCAGCTTTGTTCTTTTGGCTTAGGATTGACTTGGCGATGCGGGCTCTTTTTTGGTTCCATATGAAGTTTAAAGTAGTTTTTCCCAATTCTGTGAAGAAAGTCATTGGTAGCTTGATGGGGATGGCATTGAATCTGTAAATTACCTTGGGCAGTATGGCCACTTTCACAATATTGATTCTTCCTACCCATGAGCATGGAATGTTCTTCCATTTGTTTGTATCCTCTTTTATATCCTTGAGCAGTGATTTGTAGTTCTCCTTGAAGAGGTCCTTCACATGCCTTGTAAGTTGGATTCCTAGGTATTTTATTCTCTTTGAAGCAATTGTGAATGGGAGTTCACTCATGATTTGGCTCTCTGTTTGTCTGTTGTTGGTGTGTAAGAATGCTTGTGATTTTTGTACATTGATTTTGTATCCTGAGACTTTGCTGAAGATGCTTATCAGCTTAAGGAGATTTGGGGCTGAGACAATGGGGTTTTCTAGATATGCAATCATGTCATCTCCAAACAGGGACAATTTGACTTCCTCTTTTCCTAATTGAATACCCTTTATTTCCTTCTCCTGCCTAATTGCCCTGGCCAGAACTTCCAACACTATGTTGAATAGGAGTGGTGAGAGAGGGCATCCCTATCTTGTGCCAGTTTTCAAAGGGAATGCTTCCAGTTTTTGCCCACTCAGTATGATATTGGCTGTGGGTTTGTCATAGATAGCTCTTATTATTTTGAAATACATCCCATCAATGCCTAATTTATTGAGAGTTTTTAGCATGAAGGGTTGTTGAATTTTGTCAAAGACCTTTTCTGCATCTATTGAGATAATCATGTGGTTTTTGTCTTTGGTTCTGTTTATATGCTGGATTACATTTATTGATTTGCGTACATTGAACCAGCCTTGCATCCCAGGGATGAAGCCCACTTGATCATGGTGGATAAGCTTTTTGATGTGCTGCTGGATTCGGTTTGCCAGTATTTTATTGAGGATTTTTGCATCAATGTTCATCAAGCATATTGGTCTAAAATTCTCTTTTTTGGTTGTGTCTCTGCCCGGCTTTGGTATCAGGATGATGCTGGCCTCATAAAATGAGTTAGGGAGGATTCCCTCTTTTCCTATTGATTGGAATAGTTTCAGAAGGAATGGTACCAGTTCCTCCTTGTACCTCTGGAAGAATTCGGCTGTGAATCCATCTGGTCTTGGACTCTTTTTGGTTGGTAAGCTATTGATTATTGCCACAATTTCAGATCCTGTTATTGGTCTATTCAGAGATTCAACTTCTTCCTGGTTTAGTCTTGGGAGAGTGTATGTGTCCAGGAATTTATCCATTTCTTCTAGATTTTCTAGTTTATTTGCGTATAGGTGTTTGTAGTATTCTCTGATGGTAGTTTGTATTTCTGTGGGATCGGTGGTGATATCCCCTTTATCATTTTTTATTGCATCTATTTGATTCTTCTCTCTTTTTTTCCTTATTACTCTTGCTAGCAGTCTATCAATTTTGTTGATCCTTTCAAAAAACCAGCTCCTGGATTCATTAATTTTTTGAAGGGTTTTTTGTGTCTCTATTTCCTTCAGTTCTGCTCTGATTTTAGTTATTTCTTGCCTTCTGCTAGCGTTTGAATGTGTTTGCTCTTGCTTTTCTAGTTCTTTTAATTGTGATGTTAGGGTGTCAATTTTGGATCTTTCCTGCTTTCTCTTGTGGTCATTTAGTGCTATAAATTTCCCTGTACACACTGCTTTGAATGTGTCCCAGAGATTCTGGTATGTTGTGTCTTTGTTCTTGTTGGTTTCAAAGAACCTCTTTATTTCTGCCTTCATTTCATTATGTACCCAGTAGTCATTCAGGAGCAGGTTGTTCAGTTTCCACGTAGTGGAGCAGTTTTGAGTGAGATTCTTAATCCTGAGTTCTAGTTTGATTGCACTGTGGTCTGAGAGATAGTTTGTTATAATTTCTGTTCTTTTACATTTGCTGAGGAGAGCTTTACTTCCAAGTATGTGATCAATTTTGGAATAGGTGTGGTGCTGAAAAAAATGTATATTCTGTTGATTTGGGGTGGAGAGTTCTGTAGATGTCTATTAGGTCTGCTTGGTGCAGAGCTGAGTTCAATTCCTGGGTATCCTTGTTGACCTTCTGTCTCGTTGATCTGTCTAATGTTGACAGTGGAGTGTTAAAGTCTCCCATTATGAATGTGTGGGAGTCTAAGTCTCTTTGTAGGTCACTCAGGACTTGCTTTATGAATCTGGGTGCTCCTGTATTGGGTGCATATATATTTAGGATAGTTAGTTCTTCTTGTCGAATTGATCCCTTTACCATTATGTAATGGCCTTCTTTGTCTCTTTTGATCTTTGTTGGTTTAAAGTCTGTTTTATCAGAGACTAGGATTGCAACACTTGCCTTTTTTTGTTTTCCATTTGCTTGGTAGATCTTCCTCCATCCCTTCATTTTGAGCCTATGTGTGTCTCTGCACGTGAGATGGGTTTCCTGAATACAGCACACTGATGGGTCTTGACTCTTTATCCAATTTGCCAGTCTGTGTCTTTTAATTGGAGCATTTAGTCCATTTACATTTAAAGTTAATATTGTTATGTGAGAAACTGATCCTGTCATTATGATGTTAGCTGGTTATTTTGCTCGTTAGTTGATGCAGTTTCTTCCTAGTCTCGACGGTCTTTACATTTTGGCATGATTTTGCAGCGGCTGGTACCGGTTGTGCCCTTCCATGTTTACTGCTTCCTTCAGGAGCTCTTTTAGGGCAGGCCTGGTGGTGACAAAATCTCTCAGCATTTGCTTGTCTGTAAAGTATTTTATTTCTCCTTCACTTATGAAGCTTAGTTTGGCTGGATATGAAATTCTGGGTTGAAAATTCTTTTCTTTAAGAATGTTGAATATTGGCCCCCACTCTCTTCTGGCTTGTAGAGTTTCTGCCGAGAGATCCGCTGTTAGTCTAATGGGCTTCCCTTTGAGGGTAACCCGACCTTTCTCTCTGGCTGCCCTTAACATTTTTTCCTTCATTTCAACTTTGGTGAATCTGACAATTATGTGTCTTGGAGTTGCTCTTCTCAAGGAGTATCTTTGTGGCGTTCTCTGTATTTCCTGAATCTGAATGTTGGTCTGCCTTGCTAGATGGGGGAAGTTCTCCTGGATAATATCCTGCAGAGTGTTTTCCAACTTGGTTCCATTCTCCTCATCACTTTCAGGTACACCAATCAGACGTAGATTTGGTCTTTTCCCATCGTCCCATATTTCTTGGAGGCTTTGCTCATTTCTTTTTATTCTTTTTTCTTTAAAATTCCCTTCTCGCGTCATTTCATTCATTTCATCTTCCATCGCTGATACCCTTTCTTCCAGTTGATCGCATTGGCTCCTGAGGCTTCTGCATTCTTCATGTAGATGAAGGGAATAACTTGAGCCAGCCAGATTCAGGGTGTTTGGGCCCTTCTGACTTGTTGCATTTTCCTCTCATTCTGGGAAAAACAGAGTAGGGGCACATACATGCATGCACACACGCACACAAACCCCTACACTCATACACACACCCCTACACACATATATACACACACACATGCACACACACACACCCCTACATACATACAAACACACACACCCCCTACACACATACCCTACACACATATATACACTCACACCCCTACACACATATATACACACTCACATACACACACACACACACCCCTACATACATACACCCACACACAGACCCGCTACACACATACACACATACCCCTACACACATATATACACTCACACCCCTACACACATAACTTTGAAAAAAATTTAGAAGAATGTATAACTAGAATAACCAATACAGAGAAGTGCTTAAAGGAGCTGATGGAGCTGAAAACCAAGGCTCGAGAACTACTCCTGACTTTTAACAATTTATTTTATATTGGGTGTATTTCCATATTAAAATTTTCTATAAAATTTTTATAATTCCGATGTTAAATCTCTGAAGCAAGATATATTCAAATAAACCTATTTCCTACCCTTTTTCCATCCGCCTAGTTTCTTCCATGAGTAAATATAAACCTTTAACCATGTTATAATATATGGCTTAAATTGTTGTCTAATAAAAACAAATATGTGTGTAGGGGTGTGTACCTGTGTAGGGGTGTGTGTGTGTAGGGATGTTTATGTGTGTAAGGGGTCTGTGCGTGTATGTGTGTAGGGGTGTGAGTGTATATATGTGTGTAGGGGTATGTGTGTATGTGTGTAGCGGGTCTGTGTGTGGGTGTATCTAGGGGTGTGTGTGTGTGTGCATGTGTGTGTGTATATATGTGTGTGGGGGGTGTGAGTGTATATATGTGTGTAGGGCATGTGTGTGTGTATATGTATGTAGGGGTGTGTGTGTGTGCATGTGTGTGTATATATGTGTGTAGGGGTGTGTGTATGTGTGTAGGGGTGTGTGTGTGTGTGTGCATGCATGTATGTACCCCTACTCTGGTTTTCCCAGAATGAGAGGAAACTGCAACAAGTCAGAAGGGCCCAAACACCCTGAATCTGGCTGGCTCAAGTTATTCCTTTCATATGTTACTAAAATTTTGCCTTTCTAGTCATCATTTCTTATCTGAAGCAAAGCGCTTTCCAAATTACTTTCCAGACTTTTTCTACTAGACCTTACCTCTAATTATTTTTATTTATTTATTTATATTTTTGAGACAGAGTCTTGGTCTATCACCCAGGCTGGAGTGCAGTGGTGCGATATATCAGCTCACTGCAACCTCTGCCTCCTGGGTTCAAGCAATTCTCCTGCCTCAGCATCCCGAGTAGCTGGGACTACAGGCATGCACCACCACGCCTGGCTAATTTTTTGTATTTTTAGTAGAGACGAGGTTTCACCATGTTAGCCAGGATGGTCTTGATCTCCTAACCTCGTGATCCGCCCACCTAGGCCTCCCAAAATGCTGGGATAACAGGCGTGAGCCACCACACCTGGCCCCTTTCCTGTAATTATTATTAACTTCACCTAAATGTGGTTTTTCTCAGTGTCACAACAATAACCCTGTAACCAGAATGTGGGACTCTCGTTACCAAGGCAACTCTTGCTTTGATTCTGATTTTCTGAACTGTTGAGTCTGAGATGTTCTTGGCTTCCTTTCCTCCTGAGGTTAAGACCATGATAAGCATTTCACTGTTCTGTGGATATTCCATTTTCGTTCTCACTCTCTCTAAGGTTTGACTAATCTAGAGTAGTTTCTTTGGAATTCGGCTGTGTTAATTACATTTACTTTTACTATCTAAAATTAATGTCCCCCTCCTGAGCAATTCAGTCCCTTGTTTAAGTTATTCTTCTAGTCAATAAAGCCTATTCAAAAATTAAAGGAAGACTATATAAATTTTTAAAGTAATATGTTAGTTAAAATAGAAGAAAAGCAAGTGATATGGAACCTATCATTTCAACTCCATAAACTGATTTACACTTGTGATCAAAGGCTGAAAGATAACATTAAAATTGTTTTTTTATATGTCTGATATGGGATTTTGTATAAATTTTAAAAATGTACATTAGTATTATGTATTGTTATTGTTTCAATTTTGAAAAACCTTTAAATAGATAAGTAAAATAATGACTTTTTATGTGACATAAATTTGCTTTTGTAATTTTTAAATTCATAATTTATTTAAAATAATTATAATTTTTTGAAATTAGTAGATTGTATTTGAATAAATCAATTTGACTATATGCTATTTAAAAGGCAGTGAGACACAGACAACTTCATTGTTCTGGAGTCTGAAAATCCACACACTTGATTTCTAAAACAGAGCAGCAATGTAAACATATTTGAAGAACTTTTAAGTTGAAGATAACTATAGACACAATGATTTAACACCCTTTCTTCATGTTTCCTCTTTAAACTCCCAAATGGAAAGTTCCTACTTGTCTGCTTTCTCACTGGAGTGCTGGGAAAGGAACATCTGCCATTCCTTTTATGACTCAATCTCTTTTTCCTTTCCCTTCCATGGAGAGAAATATCTTATCTGTATGGTAAGAATAATACTCGTCTGACATTTTTAAAATGTTGCCTTCTCTTAAATAAATTTGTTAAAATTTCCGTCCTACTTAGTGTTATATGTGAAGCCTATTTTTCAGACTGTTTTTTTCTTCTCTTTTGGCAAAGCTTTCTAAAATTTGTTGAAAAACAAACAGCATGTTATATTGGAGAATAGAAACCAAAGAAAATAGGCATTTAGTGTGACAATTTATATTAATAGGAATTAGTTGAATTTAATGTCTTTTGCGGCTATCAGTACCAGAGGCTGAAAATTCTTTTAGTGTTCTCATTTTGTTCCCCTCTCTTGGCTTTGGTGTTTTGGTGTTTCCTTCCTCTGGTGCTGCTACTCAGAGAGAGTTGTACTTTACAGATCTTTCAGTTTTTGTAGTCATAGTTCACTGCTATTACACTGGAGCTCCCTTGGCACAGTGGTGGGTGTAGGGGGTACATTCTGTGATCTCCCAATTAAATGTTTTAGTTGGCCTACGTATTGGGGTGTGGCTTCACAAGTGTTTCCAACCCTCCTCCACATGTATTACATTCTTCCTGTTGCCCACTCCCTTCTCTGGCTCCAGTGTTCCCAATCTATTTCCTTGAAGTTCTGTGCCCTGTTGTTGACTTCTTCCCCCTCTTAAGGGAAGGCTAGAGGGAGCTGGAGTGGGAAAGAATTACACTTACACTACTGGATAAGGTTTCTAAATTGTGCTCTGGCAAAGTGTTCCTTTGTTAAGACTCTAGAAATGGGCCACCAGCGGTCTTTAAAAAAATCACCGATTTTCTGTTTGTCCAGCTGTTTCTTGTTGTAAGGATGAGAGCAAGGATTTCCAACGTCTCTCCAAAGATGTAAGAAACTTGAAGCCCCTACATACTGTTTTTAACCTAAAGCATTGACTTTAATTTACTTAATATAAAAACTAAAATTTTCATTAAGAAATTCACTAGCTTTATTAAGGTAAGAAAAATATTCTGAAAAATGTTTTAATGAAAGAGTGATAAACTCACATTTCTGTATTCATGTCATATAATTGACTACTTATTTGAGAACATGAGGAAATTGATTATTTATATTTTATCTCACTTCACCAACTATGCCCCTATATTTTTTGTTGTTTCTGATGTGCTTTTTATTTAGACAGTGGTTTTATTCACCCATTTTTTCTATTCTGTTCCTGACTTTTGCCATTGTGCTGTCTATCTTCCTCATTAACTTGTAAGTTCTTCTTTGAGCCTCTTTCTGGGCATATCATGTTATTGCCAACTTCTTTGATTCTGTGACAATGTAATTGCATTATTCTACGGTATCCTTAGGCCATTCTTATGATGTATGTAGTTCTTGTGTTTTTGTGCATCCATTTGTTCTTTTGGGGGAAAGATTGCTAATCTCTAAGTGTAGCTTTTCTCTTAGTTTTTTTTCAGATTATTACTCATTTTTGAAAGGTGCAAGGTATTTGTTGAAGAAAAGCAGGGTAGCAAAGGGAAGATGATAGATCATCAGTATTCTGAAGTGTTGACTTCTATTTGATGCCTGTTAACCAAATCTATCATATCCTTTGTTAAGAAGAAAGTGTCTCCTAAATGTATGGGATTCAAGTATCCATATCATTTATGGCTAAATGCTTTAATTTGAAGTTTCTCTTCTTTGTGTTCACTGACTTGCCTTCTTTTATGACATTTACTCCTGGCAACCCCCTTTGGCTAAGGGGCTAGATTATAGAAAAGTGAATAACTTGACAGCACACTTTGATTTTGCTACTCTACTTCTTTTGCTTTTCTGAGTTGTCACACTGAGTCATTAGAGGGAAAACTCCCACTTCTGCCTTTGCCCACCCACACCTCGATGTTTTTCATTCTAGCCAAATAATCAATGGAGATATTCTTTCCTAAACGCCAATATTAAGTTTTGACAAGACTGCTTCCAGCATAGAGTGAGAGAAGGCCCTTGTTCACCATGCAGTTTTCTCCTTTGTTTGAACAAGGTTTCCTAGCACCTGGCAGAATGGTATTCCTAGATTTTTATTAGAGTTATGGCCTTTTAACATTTTTTCCCTGTTGCTCTTTTGATAAGTTTGAGGAAAGAGAATATAATAGCAGGATAAAAATGTCATTTTCTGATCTCTGAAAAAAAATTAATTTGCCAGTTAAAATAGATGATACTGCCTGGGAAAACAACAAAAACACAATGACTACCATTCCTACCTTCTCTTCATTATACTTAGGAATTTTCTGAATATCTATCAGTAGATTTTTGGCTCTGAGATGGGCTATGAAATGTTTTGGATAAATTTTGAGCTTAAGGAAATGTGTTCATGTCATACTAAGAATTAGTAGCAAGAGTCTTTCGCTGGTAGGACTTTCATCTCTAGAACTTATTCTGTGCAAACTTCTAGCAATTGTAGGATATTAGGTCTTAGAACACAGGATCAGAACTATCTGTTGCCTGAGCAACTTCAAGGGCCTGCAAGCTTGAATATGAATAAGCTCCCAGAGACTGACAGGATTTCTTATTCCTTTTGCAATATCTTGAGAGCTAGTGGAAGTTTTTTGGTATTACAACATCTATTTGTATTTACATATAGCCTCCCAAAAGGTCCCATGTTAGCGTAAACTCTAGAAAAGACTAAAGAAGAAGTTTCACTCTGAGATAAATATATATAGAATATATTTGGGCCTAGAATATAAGAAGATATATTTTATTATTAATTTCCATAATTTTATTAAAAATTTTGCACATTTACTGAAATAAGCAATCAGTTTTGTTTTTTTGTTTGTTTGTTTCAGGGTATAAGTGTAAAATAGTGTTATTGTTACAGGTGCAAATAGCATCATTCCTTTTAAGAACTTCCTTTAGGGACAAAGGTTTATTCCAATCCTTTTGAGACTAAGTGAATATATTACATTTAGGTTTTCCAAACACTTTTCAATACACATGTATAAATGCAATGAATATTAATAATTCTTCTATATCTACATTGAGAAAAAACAGCCATTTAAAAAATGTAATTAAAATTTTACAATATGTTTACTGCCTTTTGTTATTGCCTTGCTTATCTGAAAAGTGCCTAAGACCATTTTTTAATATAACTGAATACTCTGTCATCTCATAACAATTTCCTATAAAATTTTAAGTCACAAAGTCAAGACTACTAAAATAATTAATTAGAATACTGAAAATAAATTTAGATTCCATTGACGAAGAAACTCTGGAACACCAGATTTCTAAATTACAAAAAAGAATTTTGGGAAGATTTCTATGTTGCTCAAACTCTGAAGAGTATCATATGGAATACTTTTAATATATTATATGATAAATAATATATGTGCTATATCATAAATGAAGTATTCATATTGAAACTTGAATGCATTACTTCTCTTGTGGTTAGTCCATACATTAGACTCAACTACAAAAACAGAAAAAAGCCTTATTTTCTTTTTTTAAGAAATTTAAAAGTTATAAAAATCATATTATTTAACAAAGTAAAATGCCTTTGGGACAACATAGATAATAGGCTATTTCCTTTGAGCATAGTTTTCTCAAAAATCATAAATATATGAGTTTCTAGTTATGTATAGATTTTGTTAAGCATTGGCATTAAGAAGTCAGGGTATTTTGCCACAGTATTGACACACATTATGAAATTTGTGAAACCAAAATAATTAAACCTCCAGCATGCAACAACTTTGTTAACCAGGCAATTAAACAATCTACAGCACATTTCTGTATGAAAATGAGGAGAAAAAAGGAAACTAGCATTCTGTGTTTCTTTAAAAATTAAATAGAAAAAGAACTATTAAAAATCATTTTTGCTATGTATTAACAATTTTAAAGAACATCAATTATACAGGAAAAGACCAAGAAATGTATTTACATAGAGCCACACATAACAATGGTACCCAGGTAAAGTCATCTATAATTACCGGCAGCAAAGTCAAAGAATTTGTTGTCAAATACTTTAGGAAATTATGCAACTATCCTAAGGATAATATAGGGCTCTTATAATCTGTAGTAGTCAAGCATTCTTCTAATGTGTACAAACGATCTCAGGTTTATGGTGCTCCATGAACCTGGGGTATAATATGACAGTCAAGCTGTGAGGACTTCAGCACACCATAGCCTCTCACACCTGTCACACTAGGTGTGAGTTTTCTTTTACTTCTGCCACAAATTCATTAACCTCAAACTCTGTTATATATGTTTCCTTAAGATGTCTTCCCTTCCTTTCCCTTCCCTTTTTTCTTCTTCTTTTCTTTTTTCCAGGAAGATGACATAGCAGCTTTTGCATGGTAACTAATTCCCAGTCCTCAAAAAATCATGATTTGAAATTGCAGGAATCATTATTTTGATTCCCACACTATCCTAAAGGCATACTCACTTTTACCAGCAAGTCCTCTGAGGTGTCTTGCTGTTTCTTCTAGTCTCCATTTCTGGCAGTTTTCTGTTTGTTCATTTTGCTTTCTGTACAGGACTCATCAAGGAGTGACATCCCATCTCTTTGGTAGAACATTCCTCTGTAGTAGATCAGATGTCTTCTTTCCTGAGGCAGTCATCTAGTCTGACTTTTCTGGATATTATGTCTGGTTAAATTTTTCACTTCTCACCTTCTGAAGATTGCTGCCTGTAAATTGAGAATACGGCTTTCTGGAATTCATTTAGTCTTGCTTTTATTCCAAGTAATGTTACT
This sequence comes from Homo sapiens, assembly GCF_000001405.40. NCBI lineage: Eukaryota > Metazoa > Chordata > Mammalia > Primates > Hominidae > Homo > Homo sapiens. Next base: position 115,074,612 of record NC_000006.12, on the reverse strand, counting down.
TTCTCTTCCATCTAAAATTTCCAAGTACTGTGCCAGATAAAATTTTATTTTGTCATTGATATATTTAGGCATATGTCAGAGACATAGACCTAGTGTACCATAATTAGTGACAGTTCTAGTACTAGGACTTAAATCTTTTGACCCTTATGCAATATTTCAAGCTTTGTGATGTCATATTCTAAGCTACTTTGTAGTGATTAAAGGCAGTGGATATGCCCCAAATTGTATTGCATTGCATTTAAATGTTTCACCATTGGAGACAGTTTATACTTTTGAGATAACAAAATTAATATGATAAACATTTAGAGTATAATATGTAACACATGGTTTCCAGTTATACATATTTATTTAAATTTTAGCACTAGAAGTCAAGGCATCTTGTCACATAGCATTAACAGGCATTAACACACAGTGGGTGCCTAACAGCAATAGCAGTAGTTCTGTTGTGAAATGCTTTGTAGTTTACACAGTACTTCCACATACATACACATATATGTTTTTAATACAAATGATATTCCTATTATTTTTTGTTATTGAGGATACAAAATGAGCTGAAGAAGTAATTCTTATGCCAATAAAAAACCAATTTGCCTCAGGAAAATTTGCTTCCAGAGCTTCTGCCACTACTATGTGTGGTAGATACAAAAAATGACTACAAGGCTTTCCAGCAAATACTAACAAGAAATTTAGTAAACTTTCAAATTCTTAGAATCTGAGCTGGCCCAGTGATCTTCCTTGACCAACAGAATGTAATAAAAATTACCTTGCGCTAAGCCCCAAGAGGTGTTGTAGCTTCTGCTCTCACATTCTTGGAACCCTATTATCATGTGACCAAGCAGAAGCTAGCATGAGAGATGGTAACTGATGTATGGCCCAGTCATCCCCATCATCTGGCTGATCATAGATGACCTATGAGTTGGGTCATCTGAGTTCAGCCAGCTTCAGCCCATCTTCCAACTGACTCCAGAGGGTTACATGAACAAGCCTGGCTAACATAGCTGAGCAAAGCCCAGAGCTGAAGAACCACCCATCAGCATTGTGAATTAAATGAATAGTTAGTGTTTTAAACCACTAAGTGTTTGGTTAGTTTATTATTTATCAAGAGATAACAGACACCCAACAATAGGCTCTCTATTCATTATGGCCATTACTATACACTATTTATTGATCATGACAACAACCCTGTTGTATGAGATGAGATTACATTGCTTACCTAAGAACACATAGTTGGTAATAGTAGAGTTGAATCCTCATCTCAGGTCTTCACAATTCACATTCCTACTAAGTCACCAAAATTACTGACATCATACAAACTTTCCATATTCATATCAGAATATAAAGAAAGATAAAATAAGACATCAGCATTAGAACAGAGAGGTCTTGGGTACACATGACTAAAATAGCTGTAATAAATATAACCATCAATTTAAAAAAAAGCTTTATTGATATATAATTCTCATACCATACAATTCAGGTGAATTGAAGTGTACAATTCAATGATTTTTAGTATATTCAATATGCAATCATAATCTCAGTCATTTTTAGAGTATCTTAATCACCAAAAAGAGAAATCCTGTACCTTTTACCTATCTCCCTTGCCCTCTATTTTCCCTAGCCCTATGAAACCACTAATCCACTTTCTATTTCTATATATTTAATATTCTGGACATTTTATATAATTTAAGTTATATAATATGTGCCTTTTGTGCCTAGATTATTTCACTTAGACTAGATTGGGTGTGTTCAAGGTAGCATGGCTGTAGATGATTATTCACCTAATGTTTTCAAAGTTCATCCCTGTGGTAGCATGTATCAATACTCTATTACTTTGTGTAGCTGAATAATATTTCATTATATATATATACATACATATATATACACATACATATATATATACATATATATACACACATATATATACATATATATATACACACATATATATACATATATATACACACATATATATACACATATATATACACACATATATATACATACATATATATACACACACATATATATACATACATATATATATATATATATATATATATATACACCATATTTTGTGTATCCAATTGTCTGTTGATGGGCCTTTTGGCAATCGTTAATTGTGCTTATATAAAGATTATTGTACAAGTTTTTGTTTGCCCATGTGTTTTAAGTTACTTTGGTTAAACAGTATACCTAAGACTAGAATTGCAGGGTCATTGGCAATTCTGTGTTTAACTTCTGGTGGAACCACTAAAATTGTCCCCATCAGCTGCACCATATTACATTCTCACAAGCAGTGTATAAGGATTCCAATTTTTGCCAACACTTGTTATTATCATTTGAAAAAATTATTATTCCAGCCATCCTAGTAGGTATAAAGTGGCATCTTATTGTGGTTTTGTGTTTTACTAATGACTAATGATGCTGAACATCCTGTCAGTCACGTGGTTTCTTGACCATTTGTTTATCTTTTATGAGAAATGTTTATTCAAGTTCATTTATTTTTTGATTGAGTCATGTGTCTTTTTGTTTTTGAGTTGTAAGAATACTTTATATATTCTGAACACTTCATCCTTATAAGATATATGATTTACAAGTATCTTCCCATTCTGTATACTATCTTTTCACTTTTTTGATAGTATCTATTGACAGTGTCCTTTGAGGGACAAAGGTTATAAAAAAATGAAACTCGGTAAAAATTTCATTTATCTAAAAATATCTAAAAAATTACAAATTTTGAAATTTTTCATCTAAACATTTTTGCAAAGTTTTATCTATTTTTTTCTTTATTGTGTATGCTTTTGGTGTCATATATGAGACTATTGCCAAATCCAAGGTCATCTAGGTTTACTCCTATGTGTTATAGTTTTAGCTCTTACCTGTAAGTCTTTGATCCATTTTGAGTTTTGTTTTTTGTTTTTGTTTGTTTGTTTGTTTGTTTTTGAGATGGAGTTCCGGTCTTGTTGCCCAGGCTGGAGTGCAGTGGCATGATCTCGGCTCACTCAAACCTCTGCATCCCATGTTCAAGTAATTCTCCTGACTCAGCCTCCCAAGTAGCTGGGATTACAGGCACTCGCCACCATGCCCAGCTAATTTTTGTATTTTGGGTAGAGATGGGGTTTCACCATGTTGGCCAGGCCAGTCTCAAACTCCTGACCTCAGGTGACCCGCACACCTCGGCCTCCCAAAGTGCTGGGATTACAGGCATGAGCCACCGCACCCAGCCGAGTTAATTTTTATAAATGTTGTAAATAAAAGCTCAGTGCCGCAATGAAGATGAACAAAAGAAAGATTCCTCAGCAAGGCAAATTTACTTCTGCAGAAGTGTGCTGCTCCCATGTCTGACTGCTGAGAGAGCACACTGAGCTGGGTAGGGCAGGGGTTTTCATCCCTAATGCAGCAGGTCCTGGAGCTGTGTCCTTTCCCCATTGGCTGGAGTAGGATGCACAATCTAAGCTGACCCGATTGGCTACTGTTTAAAATTGAATAGGGCTAACTAGGCGGGAAGGGAGAGGCTGTCCATTACAGTTGAAGGCATGTCCGGGCATGTTAGGGCACAGCAAAAGTGGGAAGGGTGGTTCTGGCAGGAAAGACAATTGCAGAGCAGGTAATCAAGGGAATAGATGTAAATTACAGATTAGGGCTGGTGGGAAGGTTATGTACCATAACTAGGGAGAGGGAGAGGTACAAAGAACGAGGAAGTTAGGCTTGAAAATAGAGAACAAAGAACAAGGAGGCTGAGCAACCCGTCTCTTTGAAGAGGAACTTACTGTACCTAACATAAATGATGTGAGTTAAAGGTTCAGCTTCATTCTTTTGCATGTG